>NC_000002.12:59281261-59584291 GCF_000001405.40 Homo sapiens | reverse complement strand
CCATCCAAATAAATGTGGATGATTCAGATGTGTACTGGGTTCACACAAAGGATGGAATGCTCAAAAGCAGTTCCTAGACTAACATTTTTCCCTTAATGGTTTGCTAAGAAAGCAGCTAATAAGGCTTTAGCATTACTGTGTTTCATGTCGTACACTCTACAGTGTGGTTGTAAAATGAAGGCAATCTCTGCCACATGAACATGATATATTGGAATTAGCATCTTGCCCAGGAAGATAAGACTGAAGTCCTGAACATCTACATTTGATAGTATCATGTTTCAGAATTGTATATATTTGTGCTAAAATGAACTTTAGGGATCATTTTCAGGATGAGGTGACGAAGTTGGGAGTTTGAGACCAGCCTGACCAACATGGAGAAACACTGTGTCTACTGAAAATACAAAATTCGTCGGCCATGGTGGTGCATACCTGTAATCCCAGCTACTCGGGAGGCTGAGGCAGGAGAATCACTTTCACCTGGGAGGCGGAGGTTGCAGTGAGCCAAGATCACACCATTGCACTCCAGCCTGGGCAACAAGAGTGAAACTCCATCTCAAAAAAAAAAAAAAAAAAAAAAATCTCAGTGGAATATAACAAAATGTATTTTGTTAGCTGCCATGTCTTTGGTTTCGCTGGAAGTTGACTGATCTGGGCTGGACTCAGATGGGTGGCTGTACTGATCTTGTCTGGGCACTCTCACAAATCTCTAGGAATGCTGACTTGGCTTGATTGACCCAAGGAAACTTGTCAGGGATGTCGTCGCTGTATTTGACTCATTTTCCTCTTGAAACCAGTAAGCTAACCCAAGCACAGTCTCTTACAGCAATGAGACAGACTCAAGAGCCTAACTTACAAATACTTTACAAGTCTCTTCTTTCATCCTGTGTGTCATGCTCCATTGGCCAAAGAGAGTCACATGGTCAAACCCAGATATGAAGAAAAGAATGAGGAAGAACAACCACCCATTGTGAGGCCAAAGCAAGTAACATGAGCAAGACTAACCTCAGTAGAATGAGAAAGTATACTCCCCCCATGGAAGTGAGGGTATGAGAATCAATCTTTCTGGAGAAAAAAAATTATTATACTTGGGGTTACTTTATGCATTTCTTGTTCAAGATTCATCTCATTAGACTATGATTCAAGGTCTTCCAAAACCTGGTAAAAACCTAGATACCTAATCTTGTTCATTCATGTATGCCCCTAAGAACATTTCAGCTCTAGTTAAATTAGTCTATGTGTTTGTTGTGTTTAGATTTACATATTATTGTCTCACCTTGTGCATCTGTTCAAGGAACCCACACCTGTCAAAATTCCACTTAATCATCCTACATATAATTTAATGTTCAGTTTATGTGCTTTCTCTTAGTTAAGAGAAAGCATATGGAATTAATGCATTGAACACTATGCTGGCACTCTGCTAGGGGCCTTGCATATGTCCTTTCATTCAATTTTTAAAATAATTTGGGCATTGTTTTTTTCTGAGAAAACTGAGATTCAGAAAGTGTATAAATTGCTAAGATCAAATGTGTTTATTGGTGACAGAGAAAATTCAAGCCAAAGTCTGATTCCAAAGTCCATGTTCTTTCTACACCACCATGAAACCTATCAAGTAAGATTTTACCTTCAGAGAACCCTTAGTATTTATTGCTTCTAACATTAATTTGACAATTAACATTAAATTGTTTTTAATTTATTCCTTGGAATTCTGCCATATTGCTACATGCATTCTTACATAACTCTTTTTTTTTTCTGTTTTTTGTTTGTTTGTTTGTTTGTTTCTTTTTGCGACAGAGTCTCACTCTGTCACCCAGGCTGGAGTGCAGTGGCGCAATCTCAGCTCACTGCAACCTCTACCTCCCGGGTTCAAGCAATTCTCTGCGTCAGCCTCCTGAGTTGCTGGGATTACAGACGCCCACCACCACACCCAGCTAATTTATGTATTATTAGTAGAAACAGGGTTTCACCATCTTGTCCAGGCTGGTCTTGAACTCCTGACCTTGTGATCCACCCGCCTCAGCCTCCTAAAGTGTTAGGATTATAGGCGTGAGCCACCGCGCCCGTCCTCTTACATAACTCTTTAAAGGCACATTTGTTAAGTTTTTGCTTATGTTTTATTTCCCCTAAGGCAAGTAAGAAATGTAGCCTTTAAACTTCTTTATTTGGATGAGAGTACCTAGTACAGTGCATTCCACATGTAAATATTAATAAATGCATAGTTTGATGAGTCTCAATAGGTTAGAAAATTGCCTTTAATATTAACTTATATCCCATGATGCCTTACCTCTTGATTATTAAAAAAAAAAAAAAAACTTTTTTGATAAGAAGAAATAACTGGGAAATCATTCATTTTTATTTTTTCTAAATTAGTGGCCATGGGCTGAGATCTTAAGAAAGCTATCGAATGTTAAGTCAGGATAATACATGGACTGTGTCTTTGTAATAGCTTTATTTTTATTTTTGCTGAATAATAATGGACTTTTTAAGTGTCTTTAAGGAAATAAAACTTGAATTCTAGCAGTATTGGATTGAAAACTGGTTAAAAGGAAGGATGCTGCAAAAAATTACTAGTTATCAGCTCAGAAATTAGTTGATGGCCTCTGGATCACAAGTGACACTGGTGTTCCGTAAGTTTATTAACAACCTGAAAGATGGGGTGAAGTGGCAGGGCAGCAAATTTATTTAACCACATAATTATTCAGATACTAAACATAGATGTAGTCAAGAATAAGGGGTGGGGAGAACTTCAGAAAGACCAAAGGCATTTAAGTAATCAAGCTCCACGATAGTGAATAGAATTCAGTGTTGCAAGTTCAAGGTAAGACACAGTGGAAGAACCAATTCAAACTACTCATACACAGTACACTAATAGCTTCTGAATTACCTACAGCCTCTCAAGAAAGAAATCGAGAAGTCACAGTCGACGGCTCAAAGAATATGTTGACATGACATACAGGAAAAAAATTTTGTAAATAAATAAGATATTGGGTTGTATTAAGAAGGAAATCAAGGATAATGTGAAAAATAGTATGTCTTTGTTATATATTAAAACATCTTAATAGTCATTCAGGAAACAGGGAATTAAAAAGTCACCTTGAGTGTTGCCTTTAGTTAGGAAGACTTCATCTGTTTAAAAAAGATAAAAGGGAAACATGGGGGAAACCCAAGGAGAATAGTAAAACCATCAAAAATTTGTTAGAACTCCATACAGGAGGCATGAGAGAGATTTCATGTCTTTGGTAGAGAAAATGAAACAGAAAAGATTGTGAATGGGAAAAGAAAGGCCAATGTGGTTTTTAAATTTATTTTAGGTTCTGGGTACATGTGCAGTATTGTTACATAGGTAAATTGTGTGTCATGGGGGTTTGGTGTACAAATTATTTAGTCACCCAGGTAATAAGTATAGTACCTGATAGGTAGTTTATCTATCCTCATCCTCTTCCCTCCTTCATCCTCAGGTAGGCCCCAGTGTCTGTTGCTCCCTTCTGAGTGTCCATCTGTAGTCAGTGTTTAGCTCCCACTTATAAGTGAGAACATGGGATATTTGGTTTTCTGTTTCTGTGTTAGTTGGCTTAGGATAATGGCCTCCAGCTCCATCCCAATGTGGATTTTTTATTGTTTCCTGATTATATGTGGATGTGTGGATATGCTAGCATGGAAGATGTGAAATAGAGGATGGATTTTTACCATGGGTCCTGTTTAGACAGAACACACACATAAGCCTTGCATGGCATTCCCACACCAATCCATTGTAAACCATTGCAATGTCTTTGTTATATATTCTAAAAAGAAAGCAGAGTATTTGTAACCATTAAGATTCCATAGGAATGCTTGACAGGAAATATATTTGCATCTAGAAATGATGAAAAAATTCTATGAGCACATTTCCAACAGAGAAAGAGTTAGTGTCATAGGTTACTTTTATCAGCTGGGACAACATTACAAATATCTGAATCCAATAAGGCTTAGAAAATTTGTGACTATTAACATTGTTGGATGTTCATTCAGGGTATATTCTTACCCACCAGCATCCATTCCTTGAAGGAAAGAAACATGGTGTATCAGCTGGAGTCCTGGAAAAAAAACGGGCCATTCTCAAACTGAGTATTTTAGCAGTTTAAGAAAGGGGCTATTTAAATTTTGTATTAAAAAAATAGTGTAGTACTATGGGCCTGAAAACACCTCTTGGTGTTGGAGCAGACATCAGAATCTAGAAAGTTCTAGCAAGTGTAGCCATGCCACATGGGAAACACTTTTTTTTTTTTTTTTAAGACGGAGTCTTGTACTGTTGCCCAGGATGGAGTGCAGTGGTGCAATCTCGGCTCACTGCAAGCTCCGCCACAATGCCCGGCTAATTTTTCTTTATTTTTAGTAGACACGGGGTTTCACCACGTTAGCCAGGATTGTCTCCATCTCTTGACCTTGTGATCCATCCGCCTCGGCCTCCCAAAGTGCTGGAATTACAGGCGTGAGCTACTGAACCTGGCCGGGAAACACCTTTTTATAGGAGTGCGCCCTTCATACAAGGACACAATCAGCACCAAGCAATCTGAGAGGGGACCAGTGGCAAAAATGACCCCACCCCAATCCTTCTCTCCTTTCAGTGCATCCCATTGGTGCAGAGCTCAAAGGAGCCTGTTGATAAAGTCCATAAGAATCATGCTTCCATTAAATAGAGCAAGGAGGAGAAAAGTAGAGATTGAATCTGGAAGAGTAGCAAAGAGGACCGGCACATGTCTTTGTCAGTCTTTTTTCATATTCCAGACTTAAGAGTAACTGGCATGTAATAGATAATCAATGCCAATGGAATGAAAGCATGAATGAACAGAAGTAGATAAAAGTAGTAAGTTGTCTAAAAATAGTTTAGCATGCCCAAATAGTTGGAAACCTGTGGACACTGATTTTTTATGGTATTAACATGGTTCTCAAAATAGAGGGAAGTTAATAGAGATGCACAATAAATTGTTATTTTCTAGTGATATTATTCTAAAATGTTATATGTAAGAGAAGAGTTTAATATCGTCAAAATAACCAATTAGCTCTTATCAAGAGTCTAGATAAATTGAACAAAAACAAACAAACAAACAAAAATGTCTGGCTAAAGATCAGATTAATTTGCCTTAGTTCTTTAAAATAGATATTTGATATCAACTGAGTGTCCTTCTTAGCCCATTTCCACATTTAACTTACAGTTAATAACTTGAACTACATTATTGGCTTGCCACGATTGCTGTGTGGAGGAAAATCCTGTGGCTCTCAGTTGCTGATTGGTGAAGCTGATGATCTCCATTAAATGAAATGGATCTAGGTTGCTCCCTATCTTTAGTGGGGAAACATTTTTTAACAGTTTTGTTGACCAAGTTTGAGAACATATGTTGACTTGTAAAAATTTCTAAAGCCTGAAACAACTCTAGTTGTCACTGGGACATCCCTGTCTCCCCAAAATAAGCCCCTTCTTCTTTCAAGTTATATTTCTGTCTTATACCTTTGAATCCTTCACCGTCACTCAGCATTGAATTTTTATCTTTCATAACAATATTACCTCTGAGTTTATGCCCCTTCACACCTTTGATCTACCTGAAACATTTGAAGTGAAATTCGCTCAGGCATAAAGTGCACATTCAGTGACCGGCAAATAAGTACTAATAGAATAGTAGGCAGTTTGGAACATATCTTTTTATAACAAACAAACTGTGCAATTAGAATATGTGAGGAAGTGCTGTTTCATCATGAGTTTAACACCTTCCTCTTTGACCCAACGGTCACTGCTCTTGATGATTTCAAAGGCAAGTGGCCTTGCCTCCTCTGAATTTCTTCTGAGTTTCTTTGGTTCCCTTAGAGAACTTTTTGCTTCTCCATTCTCACCTGCATCTTGTTATCTTTGCACTTTCTTTATCCCCATTACATTAGTAAGTAAAGCCCACTAAGGAAAAATATGAATCTCCTTCATTTATGTAGTCCCAGCAATACCAACATTCACCCTCCTTAGCATTTATAAATTAAAGAATCTGAATCATCATCATTTGATCTCTCTCCCTCCCTCCCTCCTTTCTTGTCTTTTGTTGGCAAAGATTAGTAGCCGCTACAACTGCACACTTAGTGAATTCAGAAAACGTAGTAAAAAGTATTAATACAAATTTGTTTGCTTCAAATCAGCTGCTAAATATAAATATTCTGAGGAAACACCTTACCAAACAAGCTCTGGATTGCAATTACACAGGAATGAAGTCCACGAAAGAATAGGGGGCTTGTGTCAGGTGTTCTTATGGAATAAATTTCATGAAGCCACAAACACAGTACATGAGACTTTACAAAGAAGAAACCAACCAGGAAATGTTTTCTTGTCTTACTGAAACTCCATAAAAACAGGAATAACAACAACAAACAACAGCAGCAAACATCTGTTGATCATCTGTTATTCGCCAAACCCTATTCTAAGTGCACACCATATTAGCTCATTTAGTCCTTACAACAACTGACTTTTTTTTACTTGCTGTAAAACCAGTACCTATCACAGCACTCAATAAGTTTTGAAGAAAACCCAAATTTATGTTTTATATTTTCATCTTTGCTACGTAAATAGCAGTGTAAATAGCTCATTGAAATACTTTGAAATAAGGTATCAGTTAGGCATTGTGCAATTCCATTAGATACATGAGGTTTATGGTCAGTTCTGCCACAAATTACATGTAATTTTTGCCAGGAGACTTTGCATATGTGGACTTTAAGTTTATCGCCTAAAAAATGTGGAAATTAGATTACTTCCGAGATATGTTCTAATTCTATAAATGGGATAATTGTGAACTGACCAGTTAAACTTTTCAAGATAGGTTTTGAATTAACTCAACCTGGAGGGCCCACAGGGACACAAGTCTTCTTTGGAAAGTCTTTTATTCCACATGTATTTAGGTTCCTTTATAGACAATACAACTATTAGTAAAACTGTCTTTACTGTTTTTCCAAATCCACATGATGGATTCAGAACTCTAGGGTATCACCTCTGTGGATCTCACAGTGCTAGAGTTAACTCATTACTTCTCTTCCAGGAACTTCCTGATTCTACCCTCAAGCAGGATAGCCCCATGACCTATTCTTAGGCTAGTAGCTGACTGTGTGCCTTGGAGAAAAAGCAAGCCAGGTTTTAGAACTTTCACACTCAAATGCCAGTCTGCTTCTTGCCTGCCTAAACACCAAATCATGTTCATACTTTTTCAACTCAAAGCATGGATATCAACATTGCAAATATTCATTAGATGATTCAACCATTAATTGAATTTGAGCCATTACTAATCCAAAGCTTGTTTGAGACATCTGATATATAAGAAAGACTGTCGAATGGGTCATGAACAACCCATTTCTTTCAAATCTCTAACCTCTATTTCTGTGTTAATCTAAAAGAGTAGAGGGATCTAGACCTAAGCTTTACAGTCTCATACTCTTTTCTTTCTACTTCTGAATTAAGATTTAATATTGCTTCCTTAATGTTGTAATTAAGAGAAATAAAATCTTTCAGAGTATTTATTTTACTTTATCAAATTAGAGCAGAATAGCTGTCTACTGCATTACCTAAGCATACCTTAAAGATAAACTTGTAGGTGTTAGAATTGGAATTTAGAAAGTCTCTAATCATACTTCAAATAGGTAAAGCATATGGCATACAATTCAGTCTGGTTTGTGCAACATTTGTTCTTCAAGATGTTATTAATTGGTATTTGTGGCAAAAACTAGTTGTTCCCAAGAATACAATTCCTTTCCCTTTTGGGCACGGCTAGATTTTATTTTCTGGCCTCCTTTATTGTTAGGTGTGACCATATGGCTGAGTTCTGGCCAATGGCATGTGGGCAGAAGTGATGTACCTCTTCTGGGTTCTACATGGTTCATACTTTTTCTTCCTTTGGCTGTGTTTGAATATGGTTAGGCAATGCTAGGCCAAGCAAAATTAAAAACATTTCTTCCTTGGTATCATCCCAAAATTTCTGATATACTAATGGTCATCATCAATTTCTAAGAATACACTAGATCATTCAGAATTTCCCAAATTTCACCTCATCTCATTTTCCTCTTGGAACCAGTAAGCTGACCCAATGACATGGGATTTCTCCATGTTGGTCAGGCTGGTCTCGAACTCCCGACCTCCACTGAGATTTTATGGTGACTTTTACATAGCATTATTTGGGCAATAGATAACTAACCTAAGATATTTGGTGGTTGTATCTCTGTCATAAATGTATGGTAATTATTAGCTATAGGCTACCAATACAGCCCGTCAAAGAGATTTTAAATATTGAGTCGGCTTTTCAAATTGCTTGATATTCATTCTGTATAGTGTGCCATTTTTAAATTGGATGAGAAGGGTGTTGAAATATTTCATGAAGTAAGTGCAATTGGGATTAAAACTTACAAACAATAAACGTATGTTCTATTAATTTCTATGTCCTTTTAATGTTTATAAATAAAAATGTAGAATAATATAAGATGGAGGACAGAGTCTTACCACGTACCACTAAAAAAAAGTTCCTATGCTAATGATTTCTCAAAGTCTATCCCCAGCTCTGGGCTCACTCATTCAACTTTATGCTTAAGACCACAATTCAGGTGCCTCACTATTGACCCAACCATGACTTGTTCAAAGTTAAAATTATGATCCAGCTCGTTTCTCTCATCTGCTTTCTTCTTAGTTTTTCACATATCAGTAAACACAATTATGGTTCTAGCTGCTCAGTCACAAATCTAGGAATTATCCTTGGTGCCCTCCTTTTCCCCATATCATCCTCACTTCTAACCTGTGAGCAAATTCACCAAGACCACTTTTAATATATATTTTTGAATTGCATCACTTTTCTGTCTTCCACGCCTTCCTCCTAGCCTGACCACCATCATCTCTCATCTGGAACACAGCCTCCAACACAGCTTCCTATTTCTACTCTTATCTCAGCCATCTACCCTCTATATAGCAGGCACTCTAGTTTTCTTCAACTTCAAATTGCAAAAAAATTTGACTCTTGATTAAAATTCTTCTTTGACTGTTAATACATGTATCAACAAACAAACAAAAAGCACTTCTAAACTCATTCTCAAAGCCTACAAGATCCTCTGGGATTGCATCCTACCTAACTCTCCAGTTTCACTTGTTCCACTGTGGCCTCCCTAACCCTAACCCTCCAGTCACACTAGTCTCCCTTCAAATCCTTGACTCTGCCAATCATCTTTCTGCTCATAATCTTAACACAAATTGTCACTGTCTAGAATATTCTTTTTGTGGTAAGCTCCTTTTCCTTTGGGTCTTAGACTCCCTCAGGGTTTTTTTTAACCACACTAAAATGGACTTCTTTTATTCTCTACTTCATGTAACTTGGAAACTTTTTGTTATGTTTCTTTTTTTTCTACTTTCTTTGTCTTTTTCCTCTATTGGAACACAGTCTCCTGGAGGCCAGGGACTTTATCTATCTTGTGCACCATTGTATCACTAGTACCTGATATGTGGTTGATGCTCAATAAATATTAGTTAATTGAATAAGTAAAGAATAATAAAATTCTATGCCTTTCTTTCTAATTTAGTTGGACAGCTGTCACAATTTGCAACTTATTTTAATATTCCTCCTAACCTTTCTGGTTTTTTTTCGAGACAGATCTCATTCTGTCACCCAGGTTAGAGTGTAGTGGCATGATCTCAGCTCACCGCAACCTCCACCCTCCAGGTTCAAGCAATTCTCCTGCCCCAGCCTCCTGAGTAGCTGGGATTATAGGTGTGCACCACCATGCCCACTTAATTTTTGTATTTTTTAGTAGAGATGGAGTTTCGCCATGTTGGCCAGGCTGGTCTCAAACGCCTGACCTCAGGTGAACCACCCACCTCAGCCTCCCAAATTGCTGGAATTTCAGGCGTGAGCCACTGTGACCAACTTCCTCTTAACCCTTTCTAACTTAAAGTTTATTTTCTCTAACCCCAAGCTTTTGTGGTATCTTAATTAGAAAATCTTTGCTTATAGACAACAATGATCAAGGAGGCCGGACCAAGAAAACACAAAACCTTCTTTAGCTTCCTGAAGTGAGAAGTTTAGGTCAGGCTTAACATAAGTGGTATTAGGCTAATAATATTAATTAAAAAGCAGAGAGATAGTAAAAAGAAAGTTGCAGTGTAGGAACAGAGTCTTCAACCATTTATTTGAGGCAAGTAAGATCTTAACTTACTGTTTACACTAAAGTTGTTCCATGTGTGAGCTGTAATGATGTCATAGTTTCTTGGTGCAGAATATAAGAAGGTTCTATGAATCCCTTCTGATGGGTTTCTGTAGTACTCTCTGGAAGAGGAGAGGATATGCAGTGTTACTACAATAAAAGAGAGAATCCATGAAGGGGAATGGCTCTTTGTGGTTCAGTAGCAACCTGTATTAATAGCTGAAACACTAACATCTGATGCAACTTATTCTTTGCCAAACGACATGGTTTTAATTACTTATCATGGCTCTTACAGAGTTTCACCTAGGACCAGAAGTCACTGGATTTCCTTTATGCAAGTTTAAAAGACAGATGTCAATCCTAGTTCAATCCCCAAAATCTCAAAACTGCAATGAGGCCCTATTATTTTCCCCTTGGCATTGCCTTCTCTATTTCTTCTGTCAGAGGTTGTCCCCTTTCCATTTAGTTTTGCCAAGGGGATGTCATCCAGGGATACTAAGGCAGAGTTAGAGTGTGATCATAAGAATTACAAGGTGCAAAGAAACACTGCAGTCTGGCTGGGTGTTTATCAGTAACACCCAGAGACCATCACACACAATCTAATCAGCAAATCACCTAAATACAAGCTGTCCCATTGGCCACCTTAGGTGAAAATGAAACAGCTGTTTAATTTAGCTTCTATGAAATGAACTCATATCCTGAATCTTTGATATCTTTATTACTATTGTAATTTATTTATTTATCTTGTGGTTATTTTATCTTCTCTGGAATCTTTGCATTGTTCTGGAATTGTATTTCTTCAAGTGCATGACATGCATACTGGTGATGTGGGCAATGACTTTAGGGATATATTAATGAGTTTAAAATAATGTAATAGTGGTATATATTTTTAGGTGTATTAGAAAACATATGCACAGCTATCACATCCCTGATTTATATCTTAGAACAAGATTAAGCAATAAAATGGGAGTTGATTTCAAGTAATTTTTTAAAAAAACATATTCCAGGTCTCCCAGTATTGCCCAAGCTGATCTCAAACTCCTGGGCCTCTCCTGCCTTGGCCTCCCAAAGTGCTAGGATTACAGGTGTGAGCCACCACTCCTGGCCCTGGTTTCAAGTAATTTTATGAAAGAGTAAATAACGATAGAAATACTACTCATATATGGATGAAAATTATAAATGTGCTAAGTGTCTACCTAAATTTTGGGAAGCATGATTATATTTCCTAGTTATAATATATCTTGGTTTATGACAGTTGATAAATAAAATAGATTCATTGCTTAACTGTTAAGCAAACTTCCTTTAAATTTGAATACTTGGCCATAAAGGAAATTTTTGCCTGAATGGGACCCAAAGTGCAAGTCTTCGCAGCAAAAAATTTTAAAGGCGAGAGTGAGGGACAAAAAAAAAAAAAGACAGTAGAAATGGGAAAGCAAAAAGGGGAACAGTCCTGACATTGGGGTCCTGGTTGTAATAGCACATTTTGGTGCCAGGCTGGTAAGTGGAGGAAATAGGATTTTGGAAACTAGACTGCTCAAACCCTTAAAACCTCCCAAGAAAAGAACTTTGGTTGGTCTGAGGCTGTGCAATTGCCAGCCACAACTGAATGCTTTATTGCCGTCTGGAAGTGTTTATTTTCTGAACATAAATTCAGGGGACAGATTCAAGGCATGTCTAGAAATAAAGCATATCATCATGTGAGCTGAGCTGACAAGGACAATTTACTGTACACTGCATTTGTTCTGGGCCCATCGGAGGAGAGCCAACGATTAACATTCTAAAATCCTCGCTGTTGAGTTCTGATTGTCCCTTCACTGAACTTTGGAATGGCATGGATTAACCCCTGAGGAACTGCAGTGCAGAGCCCAGAGCCCATGATGGGACATTTATTCCACCCTAGAAGTTTTATGCAGCCCCCAGATGCTCCTGTAGCAACAGGCTGGCCGCTGATCCGAGAGAGAGTGGCGCTTACAGAAGCTATGATAATTAAATAAGTTAATGCACATGAAGTGATTGGCTCAGTAAATATTGTGCTCCATAGTTATTGTTACTTCTTCATTATCATTATTTTGTTCTCATCTTGAGTAATAAGAAGGAACTGAATTAGACATTTTTGTTATTTTTCTGGAGGTATTAGTGTTCTTTTACACACCATTTTTAGAAAATCTGATATCAGCTATAGGTGGCAATGTTTAATCCATTATGAGAATGTACAATTTTGACATCTTTTTCAAACTTTAAGGACACTGATAAAGAAAAAACGTTTTTGTTCCAAAGCACCTCAATAGAGTAAATTTTAGAATGATATGAGGAGGCAAATTTAAAGTCAAATAGCTTGCAGTCATTCTGATGTGTAGCATATTGGAAAAACGAGACTAGAACTAAGTTTAAGTTGGTAACATAAATCGGGTAAGGCGGTTTGATATATTTGAGATGAAGATCTCAGTAGTGTTCCTTTCCATCATAAGAATTACTAAACACTTAATGTTTGCAAGTATTTAGGAGAGAAAGGCGTTTTCTACTGCTTCCTTCTTGGGCTGTCTTCCCCAGCTCCTCCCTTCTGCCTCTGGCTCCAAGAGCCAGATCTGTTAAGGAACAAACAGCAGCAGTCAGATGGGGGCAAAGAAAGACTCACAAGGAAGCTTTTACACATTGAAAGAGGGTGACTTACACTCTTGTGTAATTTCTCCTGAGATATCTGAACATTTTACAGAGGTACTGGGTGGACAAAAAGGATTTTAAAAAGATAGGTTCTATCTTTGTTAACATTAGTGTTTGGTCCTTAAACATTCATTGAGAGATAATAAAGAGTTTAATTGAATTTAAAACACACACATACACAACTCTTCATTGTCTATTTTAATGGTTCTATAAATAGTTATTTTCATGGCAATTAGATCTATGAGCTGAGAGTACCCAGGAACCACAGTCTGCATGCCTGTCTTCCTCCCTCCCTCCTTGCCTTCTTTCCTTCCTTCCTTCCTTCCTTCCCTTTCTTCCTTCCTTCCTTCCCTCCTTTTCTCCCCTTTCCTCCCTCCTTTTCTCCCTTCTGTCTTCCTTCCTCTCTCATTCTCTTTCACTTTCTCTCTCTTTCTTTTTTTTCCTCTCTTTCCTTCTCTCTCTTTCTATTCTTTCTCTCCTTCTGTTTCTCTTTCTTTCTCTTCTTCCTTCCTCCATTCATTTCTTCCTTCTTTTTATGTTTCAGGATTTTATCTAGCTGTGAAGATCAGTCTACATTTCAAAATTTACTGTAGTTATTCTTTGTTTTCAATTTCACCTCATTCCGAGTCATTCAAAATAAGGATCAAGGTAACCCAAGTGGAATTCTAATTCTGACTTGTGAGTCTGTTGACAATCTCTTATTTATGACATCTGAGTTGGTGATATATTTCTCAACTATCTATATAACTTAATAAGGCTGTTATTAGAAATACACTAATGGGGAATTTAAAACTGGCTAAATGGCACATTCCATTTCTCTTTCAGATAATTCCATATATTACTACTTCTGTTTAATAATTAATGCTCTTGTTTTTAAGATATTAACATTTTAGTCTTTGTCCTGCTCAATCCACTTTCATAATGAAAAGCTCAGTGTGTTCTATGGGCCTTGTATCACTTCCACACTAATTGTGATGAAATGTTCAGTATAATGCACCAATAAATATTTGAAAATTGGGTGGAAGGAATGTGGGAAAGCACTTTGTGCCTTTAATTGATATGCTGAACAACATTGGTTGTAAATGGGACTAATGCATTTGATTTTTTCTTCCCTAGATGTGATTTAGAAATTGTGGTGTCTAAAATAACCTAGGTTGGTTATTCACTCTCGTCAGAGTGACTGGTTCTAAATCAGCTGCCCTTGCTTTCCTTTCCTCCTTTACAGTAAGAAACAATTTACTAGTAATACATCCAATTTAGTGACTGGAGTTCATTCAGACTAATATAAAGATTTTCCTAAAATCTGGTTCGTTGTGACTTCTTACCCACTCTATTTTTTCCCCTTTTCTAAAATTTCCTTTCTCATTTTGCCTGAGTCAGTTGTGTTTTCCTGAATTAATCTCAAGACTGAGGGCCGTTGGTATCTTTCACTTTGGTATGATGTAAAATTATGGGCTTGAATCTTGGCACTGTGCTACAATTCAGCCACTGCATTTAGTTCTTGTATCTATGTAAGTCTTTTGCAGGTTAAGAAAGACTGGCCTTTCCTATAATTTCCTATCATTGGCCTTTGATGCTTTCCTATAATTCCCATCAGAATTTTTCTGCTCAGAATTTTGGTGGCTCCATAACAGCTGCTGAAGTCTTTTCACCTCAGCCACAGTATTCTAGACGACCAAAAGGCTTTTCAGGATTTAACTCTCTACTTCACTGGCCTCATCTGCTGCCACAATCTCCTCCAACCATCCCACCACCTTTTGCACCATGTGACCACACCAAGCTACTCACATGCTTGTGTCCTTGTCCTGGCTTGCCACAGTTGCCTTTTCTTTTTTTAATATAGCTTAGGAGATATCACCTCTCAATATCCTTCCCTGACACTCCAAGGCAGAGTTAGGTTTTCTTGGTCACTGAGATTACTGATCCCCAAGCATCCATCTCTTGTGCTACCTATCACACTGGCTGTGCTACCTATCAACAGGCTGCAGTAGCCTGTTTATTTGGGTGTCTTTCTCCTTCTACTGGGAAATCCTTGAGGGAGAGATCCTGCTTTTGAGCTTTGTGTCCTCAGTACTCAGCAGAGTGCTTGGGGAAAGCAGCACGCATTTATGGGTTGAGTAAATATATGAATGAGCAAACTATAATTGAATGAATGAACTCTCCCAAGCTAACTCCACACCTCCAAAAACACTGCTAGATTACAAAGTCCACAGAATTTCCTGTCCTAGAGATTATTGCTTTCTTCTTCCCTTTCCCTAGAACAATAACAACAACAACAAAAAAAGTTAATAATAATTTTCTGGTATCCCCTAAATGTTTTCAGAACTATTAGATGTTAAACAAAAGAGGAGACAAGAATTTTTTAGAGGGAGCTTGAGCTTCTAAAATGTATCAGATTACTTGACATTATTATTGACACTATTAAAATTGGCACTCTTTGCCAAGTGTTTTGTGGGTGCTGAACCATCGTTTAAGAATTGAGTGGCTAATACAGAGTAGAGGTCATGAAAGTGGTATGAAGTCCAGAAAAGAACTGAGGTGGTGATTCCTACTCAGTGTCTACAGTTGGGGAAGATACCCTTGGTTTAGGAAGACTGACTAAAAAGTAACATGCTCAGGTCCCACCTTGAAATTTGAAACCCTTTGCCCTCCTTCCTCTTCTGTACACATATGAATACTTTATATTTTTCTCTTGCCTGTTAGGAAGTTCTGCACATGGAATTTTGGGAGTTTTTTTAATGTTATAGTAATGTAGTACGGCTATCCCAGCTTTCTATCAGAAGTGGCAGGCAGCCAAAAACTAGAATCATTGTTTGCAAACTCTAAATATAGAGTCAAGATTTATATGAAGAAAACAGATATGTCTTGTTATAAAACCATGAATAAGCATTGGCACAAACATAATAGTTTATTCTTCCTTGATATCGCTTATTTTAAATAGCTATCTATCTTTTACCAAGATACTGTAGAAAGATACGTTACAGAAACATTTGCTTCAGCTCAAAGTACCGGAGGGTTGCTCTTTTCTTCATGCAGTTACGACTTCATTATTTCTAGGAAGTGATGAGGGAAATAGCCTAAAGGTGATTTGATCTTTCTAAATTTCAGGTAGCCTGTGGGATTGTTGTTATTAATAATGTATCATATTTATCTTTAGGTCACTGGTGATGTGATTTGTTTTCTTATTGTAGATTTGCTCTAACTTCGTACAAAGGTTGCTTCAATCCTGAGATTTCTTTGGCCTTTGGTCTATGAGATGTGGCATTCAGCAAAGGAAGAAACCTCCCCCATGCCCATCTGTGCTTCTCCCGGCTTCCTTTCCATCCTGCCCCCTCTCTTCTGATTTCTATCCCCCTTTAATCATTTCTGCCTGGTCCACAACAAAGGGGCAGCAGGGAGAAAAAGACTTTCAGAAAGAGTTAAAAAGAATGGATGAAATTCGTGCAATGTACACCATATGGCCTGACATTTTCCAGATTAGGTAAACATTTCTATTGGGGATAAATAGTCCTGTACATTGATGTAAAGAAATTGCATGAGACAAGGGCACATTCAGCATAGTTACACTATGGAGTAATGTTTTCTCAGTAAGAGAAATTTGAAAACTCAAGGGCAAGTGGCAGGAGGGCCCTTGGTACAGTTCAACTTTTGGAAGAAGGGGTTAAAAACCATGAGTTTGTGGCCAAACTAAATACTGTCTTCTTGAAACTGAGCGTTAGTAATTGTTTTCAAATCCATGTCCACACACACACACGCAGACACACACACACACACTCTTGTAAAAAACTCTGACCGTCCATCTCCAAACCTCTCTGAAGCAACCAAAGCACAACATTTTGCCAAAATCCATTTCTGAATGGCCCATGCCTATGGAGAGACACTTGCAGTTACTAGCAAATTGATTCTAGGTGGGTTTTTGCCGGTGCGAGTGCCTGCATCGGGTGTAGACTGCTTTGCTCCTTGGTGAACAGCCCCAGAGCTATAGATTTCATTTGATCTTTGCAAAGGCTAACATCTGTCTGCTGTCATTTTAGTAAGATTGATGACAGGCAAGAAAGAGGAAAGGGGAGGGAGTGGAGGGAAGAGAGACGAGGAGAAGGAGCTCTGGGCGGCCCCAGTGGCAGTGGCCAAGGCTGCCAGGGGTCACCGCTGCAAACCCTTTGGCCAATGAGGTCTGTGGTGGAAAGCAGCCAGGCCCCACACTGGCAGTAATTGCACTTGGTTTTTACAGCTGATAGCTAGAACTCCAAGACACAAAGGCAGCATTTTGCACCTTATATATCTTAATAGATTACTCACATTGCAAGCAGCACCAAGCTAAATGTTATGACAGCCATAAGAATGTAGTTTACTGTTATCTTAATGTAGCTGGCCAGTGCAGGGTAAAGCCATCAAAAAATATTATATTTTTTTAAAGTTTCCAAGAGAAACTAACTGATGCAGACATAGAGCTATTTTTACACAAAGCCCTGAATTTTGGCAAACGCCCTTCAAACCATAATTTTAAATATATACACACATATTTCACATATGCATATGTATATGCATGGATATGCACATTTGTGTATGCGTTTTCTCCATTTGCTAAATATCATTTTTCTTTCACTACTCCCTTTAAGTTGTTATGTGAAAACCATATAGGGAAGATTCAATTTAGATATTTTTAAGAGATGATACCATATTGGAAGTTTGTCTAGGAAATAGTAAGCATTATTTCTGAAGATACAAATGACATGCTTGGGAGATTTGGCATGAATGAATGAATGAATGATGACATAGACCTTCTGCTAACAGCATAGTTTCAATAGACTATTTGCATCCAGTTTCTTCAGGTACACACACCTGGCAGGAAGAAGCATGGCCTGGAATGTGAAGCAAATGGAATTTGATAGGGTTAAGTACCACAGAACAGGGGAAATCCAGGGGTAGTCATAAGGCCTATCTCTGTGCATTTGCTTGTTTTTGTACTGGTGTGGTGGGATGTTTGATTGGAACTTGCTAAAGCAGTGGCCACAGGGAGTTTTAGACCAGTTTTGGCCTTTATCAGCAGGAGGCAGATTCCATGAATAGAATTTAATCCAGACACATACAACACTTTTTAAGTTTAGTTGGAAAGTTAAACAACTTTGCCTTATTCAATGGGAGCCCTCAGGGCCTTAGGATTCCTTGTGACATCATGGTAATGACATGATAGAGGAGCTCAGTTCCATGGGCCAATTTATGTAAATCCCAAGATACTCCAGAAAGCAGCCTTATAGATCAAATCATCTAGTCCAACTCATCAACTCATTTATTCTAAAAGTGAGAAAATTAGTATTTTTTTCTAAAAAGATAATTTCTAAAGGAAGTGTTATGCCAGAATTTTTTTTAATTTGGCAAATAAAATGCATTGAATATGTGTTTCTATAGAGCTGATATCGCAATGAGAGAAAAAAATTGAATGTTTAAGCACCAAAAAGGAGTGAAAACGCAAATGAGTATAAGTTTCTGTTCTCACAGAATTAAAGAGATAATTTTAAAATTGTGAAGGGTGATATCAGGTTTGAAACAAAAGTAATTGCATTTTTTTGTCATTACTTCTAATTGCAAAAACTGCAATTACTTTTGCACCAACCTTATAGATAATGTGATTGATCTTCATGGTGCCAAACAATCCATTTTGCTAGAGTTTAGTTGCCTGAATTTTTCTGTTATGAGGTGGGGGGTGGTTAAAACATATGTAAATATATTCATGGAAGTTCATTATGCTTTGGAGGGTGGGGAGAGTTTCATTATAAAGATTATCCCCTTTTTTCCTACCATGTGCCCAAATGGAAAATATCTCACTGTAATACAGCAGAAGCTCTGCCCGTTTGGCTTTTTTATAGGTGCTTTCCCAAATTTTAAGTGGTGAATTCTACTGAATGAGTCATGGAAGATGTATTCCATTAAGGGCAGGGTGGGCTGAGACTGGGAAATAATGTCATAATCTCAGTTGATAAGATTGTGTTTAGTTTTTCAAATGCATCTTCAGCACTGTAATATATAATTTATATTACTATCTTAGTCAGGGTCCATGTATACTTAAAATAATAAGTTTAATGCAAGTAGAAGAAAGGTTCGTGCAGGCATTTCTTTTCATAGCTCTGGGAAGAGTTAAGGGGGTCTCTCGACAAGGGATGATGAAGTATGGAGGACCTGGCAATAGCAGGGAGCCCAGAGGAGAGGAAGAGACAACAAAGACCAGGACTCGTCAGAGCTATAGTCATTTATAGTGGGTTGAATGGAGGATCCTTGACAGATACGTTCACCTGAAACCTGTAGATGTGACTTTACCCGGAAAAAGTCTTTGAAGAGGTAATTAAGGTTCTCAAGGTGGGATCATCCTGGTGGGATCAAGTGGGCCCTAAATCCAATGACAGCTGTCCTTATAAAAGAAGAGAATACACGTGCTTAGAAAGGAGAGAAGTCCATGTGAAGACAGGGACAAAGGTGGGAGTTATGTAGCCACAGGCCAAGAAATGCCTGGAACCACCAGAAGCTGAAAGAGCAAAGAAGGACTCTCTCCAGAGCCTTTGTTGGGAGCACAGACCTCCTGATACCTTGATTCCAGACTCCTAGCCTTCAGAACTTGAAAAGAGTATATTACTATTGTTTTGAGCCTCCTATTTTGTGGTAATTTGTTGTGGCAACCCTCAGAAACAAATACACCATTGGATAGTGGGCTCCAGGGAAAAGCCACGGCCAACACTGCTCATGGAGAGGAAGCAAGGGCGACATGGAGCACAACCTATCCCTCCTCCCACTCTCTGATTTCCCACCGGATGCCTCTCATTGGCTGAACCACACTAGAAACTAGGAGCAAGAGAGCCCCTGTAAGGGAATTTGAGGACACCAGGCTGTGGGATATGGAACAGAGAAGAAAAGAATTTGTAGGCAAAATGGAGAATATTGGACACAACAGTGACACAATAATTATTTCTTTATAACTCAGTTTCTAAAAGTCAAAACTTTACAATATGTCATTACTGGTAAAGGGAGTCCAAAGGTAATTTGAAGCTTCCAGTTATTAGTGATTTTGGTGGGGAACACACTTCCGAATGAAGGTACTGTAAATATGAATGTTGGAGTTTTTCTTAGAGTTCAAATGAATACATTTAGAATCATCAAAAGGCATGTGTTCTAAAAGTTTGAGAAAAAAATTACAGCCACTGAGAAATACATAGGAAACTCAAAAAAAAACCAACATGAAACTTAATAGCTATTAACAAAATAGTTTTTTTTTTCTAGTTGCACTGCTACATTCTCTCCATGCTCTATTATACTCTAATAATCTATAAATTTTAGTAAGTTCAGATTTCTAACCATGTTCAGTCAGGTGAGGATTTGCACTTCTTTGTGAGAATTTCAAACTTCTGGTAATTAGAAACTTCTGGGAATTGAGAATTTTGGTAACTTTTTTCCTATCACTACCTGCTCACCCTGCATTTCAAAACTTCAAGCCGATTGTAGGACAAGCCATTCTCTTAAGTACAGGTTCCCAAATTTTGTGCGAAAACCTGGTATCCTAATGTGGGATAGAGTAAACTCAATGCATTATTTTCTCGATTTTGTTTTTTTTCTGCATTCTTTAAAATTAGAAACAGTGCTTGCTAGCTACAATGTGATGTGCAATCATGCCTATTTTAGCATGAAGTATACATTTATTTTGCATTTTCTACGTCAGTTTTTTATGTTAGCTCACAATGAACATTCCTGTTTTCAGGTGTTCTATCACATGAAACTTTTGAGAAATAGAGCCCCCCAAATTTCCCCTATTGGAAATTTCACAAGTAGTATTAAAACGAGCAGCATGTTTTTCTGGACCTCCATCTCAGAGGGATTTTCCCTAAAGTGATACATTGTTCCAGCACTGGCCTTTCCATTAAAGTATTGATTAAAAATATTTCCCCCTTGCAGAAGTTGATGAGGCACTCTCTTACTATTTTTACACTATTGGTATAGTGGAAAATGTATGAGCTTTGGAGTCAGACAAACCTAGAACTGAATTATGACCTTGCAATTAACTAGAGGTGGGACTTACTTTTTTTCTAAACCTCAAACTTATATGTAAAATAGCCAAGCACAGAGGATTACTGCAAGAATTAAGCAAAACGGTAAAAGCAAAGTTCCTCTTACAGTGCGTGGCCTGTTGTAGGTGTTTGGTAAATGTTAAGTGATTAAATGATCTGTAGATTGCTATGAAAGTAGGAAGCCCAGGACAATAGCAGGGAACAAAGTGATGTCCTTTGAAACGTTGTCTTTGATTTTATCACCTTGGATTTTCTGGTGCTTCCCTACCTCTTTCACCTTTTTCTTATCATACATTTCCCTGCAGCTTTGTCTAGCTTCATAACTTATATGTCCTCCCTGACTACTCTGCCTTACTTTTTACCCATCCTCTACCCTCTTTTGGCTGTCTGATGCCCTAGACAGAGCTTGGCAGGAGGATTTGGCCAAGTGTAGTCTCCACATTTCCCTCCCCAAATTAAATGCAAGCTCTGACTTGGCAGACCAGGTGCATTTTCTTCAGCTCCACAGGACCTGCGTGGGATAAGGAGCTGGTCTGTTGCTAATTAGAATCAATGACCCCAGTCTGATTCCAAGATTTAGAAAAAGACAGAGCTACCCACCCTAGCATTGCTTGATAGTCAATATTATTACTTTCTTCTGACTCACTTTTCTTCCTGAACTGAATGAATCCATTTGTCCAGGTCCTTGGTGTCCATCAGATCAACTGTCCACGAGGTGAGCCTGAGTGCACCCTCTTGAGCTTTGCAGTTTGCTCATGTTGGCTCAAATAGTAAGGTGATGAATAAAAACATGAATGATGTGTAGCTTAGAGTCAGGCACTGAGCAGGAGCCAGATGAAAATATTTATCTGTGTCCTCCCTTTGGACAAGTGACACAGTTTCTGTCTCTGTCAAATGTTTTTCTCAGGTAAATTGCTCAATCTTGTTAAAAAATCGCTTCTGGTGGGGGCAAATTGTCACATGCAGGACGTTTATATTAATCTAGATACGTTTGGCTGTTTATAATTCTGTCATAACAGTCACTTCCTGAAAGAAACATCTCTTCCAGGGCTCCTTACAAAATATAGGTAGAAGAAGAAACTGCTGATGAAAAATGTATTTTATAAAAGCAAGGAATAAGTTTAAACAACAAAAGAACAGGACATATCTGTTGCAGTGACATAGGTAAATATGATATGGATGCTATGGGTTCTCATAATATAAATCCTACTTGGGGCAAGATGTTATGTTCAACACTGTAGCAGGTACCATGCATAGTGTTTCAAACTTTGTTTTCTACTTTCTGTTATGAGGATTTTAAAATAATTTTTAAAATGATTTATTTCTGCATTTAAAAAAATTAGAAACAGTGCTTGCTTGCTAGGATGCGACGTGCAATGTGATGTGCTATTTTGGCACGAAGTATACGTCTTTTTTTCATTTTCTGTTACTTTTTCTTGTTAGCTCACAACAAACATGCCTCTTTTCAGCATCATATGAAACAAGAAAATGACCTTCCTTTCATGAGGTGGATTGCATTAGAGTCAGTCTCAGTTGCTGAGGAGGGTGTTCCCATGATAAAATTACTAAAACCTCTGCTCTTTCCCATGGGAAGGAGTCATTTATATGGACTAAAGTCAAAAAAATATATATAACTGATAAATGTGAACAAGGATCAAGTACCTATATCCAGTTTAAAAATGATGTTCCAGAATGTAGACAGACTGGGCAAAATTAGCAGAAAGGCTAGCTTGCTTTTTTGTTGAGAGAAATCCTACTAATGCTTTGTAAGGAGCAGTAGCCTCTTCGTATTTGCCACATCTTTAGAGATTTGTATCTTTGGGGTCAAGTTGGGGATTACCCTGGAAGTGGGGGTTGGTGAGGATGTGAAGAGGAGAAGCTTTAGAATGTGGGTATGTGTAGAAATTGCAAATGAATGTCTCGGGGAAGGGGAGGGGTGGGTTTCACCATAGAAAGAAAAGCATTTCAATAGCAACACAAAGTAGAGCTAGTCAATCAGGGGTGGAGAAACTCTCCATCTCACAAAATGCTGTGTAAAATTATGAGTATAATTTCCTCAAAGTTAACTCCCCTTCCTCTGCTCCCATATTCTTAGTATAATAATAGACCTAGGACTTGGGAGATACTTATATTTGTTGAATGAATGAGTATATGAATGAGAATATTCCAGGAACTGGTGCTGTGCCCTGTGTGTATTAATTCACTGGACCTTCTGTAGTAGTTTCCTTGTGTGTATTAATTCACTGGACCTTCTGTAGTAGTTTCCTTCAGCTGCTGCAACAAATCACCACAAACTTCCTGGTTTAAAACAACAGAAATTTATTCTCTCACAGCTCTGGGGGCCAGAAGTCTGAAATCAAAGTATCTGCAGGACTGTGCTTCCTCCAGAGGCTCCCGGGAATAATCCCTTCTTAACTTTTCCAGCAGGAGTTTCTTGGCTTGTGGTTGCATCACTCCAGTCTCTGCCTCAATCTTCACATGGCATTCTCTGTATGTTTCTGTCTCTTCCCTTCTTCTCTTGGTCTCTAACCTCCCCTCTGCCTTTCTCTCGTAAGGTTACTTGCGTTGGATTTAGGGCCCATCTGGATGGATAATCCAGGATTATCTCATTTTAAGATCCTTAACTGAATCACATCTGGAAATACCTTTCTTCCAAATAAAGTAACATTCACTGTTTCTAGGAACGTAATGTGGGTATCGTTTGGGGGACCATTTTCAGCCTCCTCTTTTTTTGAGACGGAGTCTCACTCTATTGCCCAGGCTGGAGTGTCGTGGTGCGATCTCAGCTCACTGCAACCTCTGCCTCCCAGGTTCCAGCTATTCTCCTGCCTTAGCCTCTGGAGTAGCTGGGATTACAGGTGCCTGCCACCACACCTGGCTAATTTTTTTTATTTTTAGTAGAGACAAGGTTTCACCGTGTTGGACAGGCTGGACTTGAACTCATGACCTAAAGTGATCCACCCACCTCAGCCTCCCAAAGTGCTGGGATTACAGGTGTGAGCCACCACCCCCGGCCTAGCCGACCTTACTTCTTAAGAACTCCATGAAATAATTATTATCATTTTCCCCTTTTATGGATGAGAAACTGGAAGGAGATCTCAATTTATATCAGTTATCTCTGGGATTCACCCGAAAGCCTTGAAAAGGAAACTCTTAAACACAAATTCTGAAAACAAATAAAGAGTATCCTATTTAAATTATAGACCTAAATATTCTTGAAGTATGTATCTCCTCTTGTGAAACACAAACAGGAACTCAGATCAAACAATACACTCAAAACCGTAGTATTAAAAAGAATCACACACACGCTAATCTATAACAGGCTCCACAAAATCAAAACTACCTCTCCATTGTTTATGGTAATGGGAAGTCTCACAGTTTTCTACTTGCACCAGGTCTTGTCTCATCCTCTTCTTCCCACTTCTCCTTTGTTTTGTACTTTTGAAAGAAGAATTTTGTTTGGGGCTTTGATGGGGTGTCTTATTGGGGAGAAGAGAAACTATTAAATGAAAATACCAATGGATATGTGTAATAACTGAAATACCATGTGCCTGGAGCTGTGCTAGGTAAGAGATTGCATTGGTGAACAAGACAGAATCTAGCTGAGATTTTGGTGAGGGGGAATATCAAGGAATCAGATAACTACAAAATAGTAAGGGAATAATAATAGCTAACATTTATTTAGTGTTATATGCTAGATAGAAATCTGAGTGCTTACTATGTGCCAAAGTATTTACTTCCTATAAAGAAATGTAAGAAATGTACAGAATGGTTCATATAGGCTGAAATGGGGGAACTTACTGGGGGATCAACTAACTCAGGCTTTTGGGGCACTGAAGGTGCCACACTGAAGGTAGAGTTTAAAGCAGCAGTTAATCAGTCCAAAAAAAAGGCTAAGCAGTACACTCCAGGCAGGAGGAACCAGAATAGCAGTATTTCAGGAACTGAGGGCATGATATATATTTCAGATTGAAATTAACTAAAATACTGGATGAACTAACCGGTTGATGAAGGGGCTGTGGATGAGACATGAAGCTAGAGAGGTAAGAAGAGGTTGTTTGATTTTCAAAAGATAATAACATTCTTTGACTAAAGAAAATATTGAAGAGAGATTCTGTATTTTTCCCTCCTTCTCTTCACAACTGCTCAAGGATCCGCCTCTATGTGAGATGCACAACTGCATCCTGGGGTTTTCTTTTTTTTTTTTTTTTTAATTTTCTTTTTTGATTTTTATTTTTATTTTTTTTATTATTATACTTTAAGTTTTAGGATACATGTGCACATTGTGCAGGTTAGTTACATATGTATACATGTGCCATGCTGGTGCGCTGCACCCACTAACTCGTCATCTAGCATTAGGTATATCTCCCAGTGCTATCCCTCCCCCCCTCCCCCGACCCCACCACAGTCCCCAGAGTGTGATATTCCCCTTCCTGTGTCCATGTGATCTCATTGTTCAATTCCTACCTATGAGTGAGAATATGCGGTGTTTGGTTTTTTGTTCTTGCGATAGTTTACTGAGAATGATGATTTCCAATTTCATCCATGTCCCTACAAAGGACATGAACTCATCATTTTTTATGGCTGCATAGTATTCCATGGTGTATATGTGCCACATTTTCTTAATCCAGTCTATCATTGTTGGACATTTGGGTTGGTTCCAAGTCTTTGATATTGTGAATAATGCCGCAATAAACATACGTGTGCATGTGTCTTTATAGCAGCATGATTTATAGTCATTTGGGTATATACCCAGTAATGGGATGGCTGGGTCAAATGGTATTTCTAGTTCTAGATCCCTGAGGAATCTCCACACTGACTTCCACAATGGTTGAACTAGTTTACAGTCCCACCAACAGTGTAAAAGTGTTCCTATTTCTCCACATCCTCTCCAGCACCTGTTGTTTCCTGACTTTTTAATGATTGCCATTCTAACTGGTGTGAGATGGTATCTCATTGTGGTTTTGATTTGCATTTCTCTGGTGGCCAGTGATGATGAGCATTTTTTCATGTGTTTTTTGGCTGCATAAATGTCTTCTTTTGAGAAGTGTCTGTTCATGTCCTTCGCCCACTTTTTGATGGGGTTGTTTGTTTTTTTCTTGTAAATTTGTTTGAGTTCATTGTAGATTCTGGATATTAGCCCTTTGTCAGATGAGTAGGTTGTGAAAATTTTCTCCCATTTTTTAGGTTGCCTGTTCACTCTGATGGTAGTTTCTTTTGCTGTGCAGAAGCTCTTTAGTTTAATTAGATCCCATTTGTCAATTTTGGCTTTTGTTGCCATTGCTTTTGGTGTTTTGGACATGAAGTCCTTGCCCATGCCTATGTCCTGAATGGTAATGCCTAGGTTTTCTTCTAGGGTTTTTATGGTTTTAGGTCTAACGTTTAAAGCTTTAATCCATCTTGAATTGATTTTTCTATAAGGTGTAAGGAAGGGATCCAGTTTCAGCTTTCTACATATGGCTAGCCAGCTTTCCCAGCACCATTTATTAAATAGGGAATCCTTTCCCCATTGCTTGTTTTTCTCAGGTTTGTCAAAGATCAGATAGTTGTAGGTATGCGGCGTTATTTCTGAGGGCTCTGTTCTGTTCCATTGATCTATATCTCTGTTTTGGTACCAGTACCATGCTGTTTTGGTTACTGTAGCCCTGTAGTATAGTTTGAAGTCAGGTAGTGTGATGCCTCCAGCTTTGTTCTTTTGGCTTAGGATTGACTTGGCGATGCGGGCTCTTTTTTGGTTCCATATGAACTTTAAAGTAGTTTTTTCCAATTCTGTGAAGAAAGTCATTGGTAGCTTGATGGGGATGGCATTGAATCTGTAAATTACCTTGGGCAATATGGCCATTTTCACGATATTGATTCTTCCTACCCATGAGCATGGAATGTTCTTCCATTTGTTTGTGTCCTCTTTTATTTCCTTGAGCAGTGGTTTGTAGTTCTCCTTGAAGAGGTCCTTCACATCCCTTGTAAGTTGGATTCCTAGGTATTTTATACTCTTTGAAGCAATTGTGAATGGGAGTTCACTCATGATTTGGCTCTCTGTTTGTCTGTTGTTGGTGTATAAGAATGCTTGTGATTTTTGTACATTGATTTTGTATCCTGAGACTTTGCTGAAGTTGCTTATCAGCTTAAGAAGATTTTGGGCTGAGACAATGGGGTTTTCTAGATATACAATCATGTCGTCTGCAAACAGGGACAATTTGACTTCCTCTTTTCCTAATTGAATACCCTTTATTTCCTTCTCCTGCCTAATTGCCCTGGCCAGAACTTCCAACACTATGTTGAATAGGAGCGGTGAGAGAGGGCATCCCTGTCTTGTGCCAGTTTTCAAAGGGAATGCTTCCAGTTTTTGCCCATTCAGTATGATATTGGCTGTGGGTTTGTCATAGATAGCTCTTATTATTTTGAAATACATCCCATCAATACCTAATTTATTGAGAGTTTTTAGCATGAAGGGTTGTTGAATTTTGTCAAAGGCTTTTTCTGCATCTATTGGGATAATCACGTGGTTTTTGTCTTTGGCTCTGTTTATATGCTGGATTACATTTATTGATTTGCGTATATTGAACCAGCCTTGCATCCCAGGGATGAAGCCCACTTGATCATGGTGGATAAGCTTTTTGATGTGCTGCTGGATTCGGTTTGCCAGTATTTTATTGAGGATTTTTGCATCAATGTTCATCAAGGATATTGGTCTAAAATTCTCTTTTTTGGTTGTGTCTCTGCCCGGCTTTGGTATCAGAATGATGCTGGCCTTATAAAATGAGTTAGGGAGGATTCCGTCTTTTTCTATTGATTGGAATAGTTTCAGAAGGAATGGTACCAGTTCCTCCTTGTACCTCTGGTAGAATTCGGCTGTGAATCCATCTGGTCCTGGACTCTTTTTGGTTGGTAAACTATTGATTATTGCCACAATTTCAGGTCCTGTTATTGGTCTATTCAGAGATTCAACTTCCTCCTGGTTTAGTCTTGGAAGAGTGTATGTGTCGAGGAATGTATCCATTTCTTCTAGATTTTCTAGACACATAATTGTCAGATTCACCAAAGTTGAAATGAAGGAAAAAATGTTAAGGGCAGCCAGAGAGAAAGGTCGGGTTACCCTCAAAGGGAAGACCATCAGACTAACAGTGGATCTCTCGGCAGAAACCCTACAAGCCAGAAGAGAGTGGGGGCCAATATTCAACATTCTTAAAGAAAAGAATTTTCAACCCAGGATTTCATATCCAGCCAAACTAAGCTTCATAAGTGAAGGAGAAATGAAATACTTTACAGACAAGCAAATGCTGAGAGATTTTGTCACCACCAGGCCTGCCCTAAAAGAGCTCCTGAAGGAAGCGCTAAACATGGAAAGGAACAACCGGTACCAGCCGCTGCAAAATCATGCCAAATTGTAAAGACCATCGAGACTAGGAAGAAACTGCATCAACTAACGAGCAAAATCACCAGCTAACATCATAATGACAGGATCAAATTCACACATAACAATATTAACTTTAAATGTAAATGGACTAAATTCTCCAATTAAAAGACACAGACTGGCAAATTGGATAAAGAGTCAAGACCCATCAGTGTGCTGTATTCAGGAAACCCATCTCACATGCAGAGACACACATAGGCTCAAAATAAAAGGATGGAGGAAGATCTACCAAGCAAATGGAAAACAAAAAAAGGCAGGGGTTGTAATCCTAGTCTCTGATAAAACAGACTTTAAACCAACAAAGATCAAAAGAGACAAAGAAGGCCATTACGTAATGGTAAAGGGATCAATTCAACAAAAAGAGCTAACTATCCTAAATATATATGCACCCAATACAGGAGCACCCAGATTCATAAAGCAAGTCCTGAGTGACCTACAAAGAGACTTAGACTCCCACACATTAATAATGGGAGACTTTAACACCCCACTGTCAACATTAGACAGATCAACAAGACAGAAAATCAACAAGGATACCCAGGAATTGAACTCAGCTCTGCACCAAGCAGACCTAATAGACATCTACAGAACCCTCCACCCCAAATCAACAGAATATACATTTTTTTCAGCACCACACAACACCTATTCCAAAATTGACCACATAGTTGGAAGTAAAGCTCTCCTCAGCAAATGTAAAAGAACAGAAATTATAACAAACTATCTCTCAGACCACAGTGCCATCAAACTAGAACTCAGGATTAAGAATCTCACTCAAAGCTGCTCAACTACATGGAAACTGAACAACCTGCTCCTGAATGACTACTGGGTACATAACGAAATGAAGGCAGAAATAAAGATGTTCTTTGAAACCAACGAGAACAAAGACACAACATACCAGAATCTCTGGGACGCATTCAAAGCAGTGTGTAGAGGGAAATTTATAGCACTAAATGCCCACAAGAGAAAGCAGGAAAGATCCAAAATTGACACCCTAACATCACAATTAAAAGAACTAGAAAAGCAAGAGCAAACACATTCAAAAGCTAGCAGAAGGCAAGAAATAACTAAAATCAGAGCAGAACTGAAGGAAATAGAGACACAAAAAACCCTTCAAAAAATCAATGAATCCAGGAGCTGGTTTTTTGAAAGGATCAACAAAATTGATAGACCGCTAGCAAGACTAATAAAGAAAAAAAGAGAGAAGAATGAAATAGACACAATAAAAAATGATAAAGGGGATATCACCACCGATCCCACAGAAATACAAACTACCATCAGAGAATACTACAAACACCTCTACGCATCCTGGGGTTTTCGAAGGCGGAAGGAGTAGGTTCATCAGAGCCCTTTCCCTGTTCTTGCCATTGGCTTGTCTACAGGGAAAAAAAACAGAAGTGTTTCAGCAGATTCTCGCTTAATCTTTCCAGCTAGTTTAAATAATGGCTTAATATGTCCTCTCAAGCCCCTATTGACTTCTCCTTTCCTCTCTCCTCCTCTGCTGTTTTCTCCCAAACCTTATTGTAAGGTACACGAAGTTAAGGAGTAAACCTTAGATTTCCTCTGTAACTCACCATAGTGCATGTTCTCCAGAAATACCCATTATTAGTTTGTTGATCACCATGCAAATGACAAAGTTCCTTATGAATTGATCTTGCTTTCTAATGTATCTTAATGTTTGTTTATGCTAGCCTTTCAATACAATAAAGTTGCTTTACATTTTCTTTTAAAACACACTGGCCTAAAATATGAGCATTGTGTTAAATGCAAAGAAGGCACTTGATAATTGTATTCAAAATGAGAAATAAATTTTGGAATTTAGGGGCTAGGTAATAATGTATGTTGTTTTTGAATTACCTGTAACAGACAGACATATATATATGAAAGCTTTTTGAATAAATAGACATTTTATATAAATAAACTATGTTATTGTATTTACTCTGAAGTTATTAATATTAGTCTGTGGAGATGGAGGACTACATAGGCCACTGCCCTGTTAACAACTCTTTTACCTTCTAAATTTCAGAGGCCATCTTTATAAAACAATAATGAGAAGCGTATGTCTCATGTTTGGTTTTATGTTTCCTTTTTTCTTTTCTTTTTGAGACAGGATCTTGCTCTGCTGCTCAGACTGGAGTGCAGTAGCCTGATCTCGGCTCACTGCAACCTTCAGCCTCCCAGGCTCAAGTGATCCGCCCATCTCAGCCTCCCGAGTAGCTGAGACTACAGGTGCACACCAACACACTCAGCTAATATTTTGTATTTTTTCGGGAGATGGGGCTTTGCCCTGTTGCCCAGGCAGGTCTTGAACTCCTAGACCCAAGTGATCTACCCGCATTGGCCTCCCAAAGTGCTGGGATTACAGTTGTGATCCACCACCACTGGTTGGTTTTATATTTCAAGTAACATGTGATTTTGAATATCAGATTTCACAGATCAAAAATAGCTAAAGACCACTAGAATCTGGAAGAGGGGTTGGGGCAGTTGAAGTCATTTAGAGTGCCACCTTGTACAAACGAACTTCAGGTTTACTTAAAAGAATTTATCAGAAAACCTTATGTTCTCCAAACTGGAGAATATAACATTTTTACTTTATAGGTCTGGTGTTTTAAATCGCAGGTTTCAGGATGGGGAGTTGTAAGAAAGAGGGACAACAAGGAAGTGACTTCAGACCTTCCTTATATCTCAGTCTGGATAAGAGAGAAGGATATGCAGTCCTCTAGGCTAAGTTTTATGAGCTCTAGTAAATAACTACCATTTTCTTAAAATCTTTGTTACATATTTCTAAGGAAGAAGGAGAAGAAAAGAGTCCTCAACGTTGTGAACAATGAGTCACCATGATAGCAAGAAAAATGCTTTCTAACTGGATTGTTGTTGTTAAATTGCACTTTGAGCATTTGTAAATGTTTCTAGTAGATAAATACTAGCAATATAGCTTGCCACATCAGGCTTTGGAAATTCAATCACATCAGCCTCAAGCAGGCCAAGAAGAGGATGAAATTAGCTAATTTTAGGGTGACGATCTTTTAAAAAAATATATCTATTTGTATGCCTTGTTTTGAAATTCCGCAAGTACTCTCTGATATGGACAGACTTGCAAAACAATTCTTATAAAGGCCCAGAAATTGTGATTTACTTTTAAACTACCAGAACCACTGAAATTTTCAGTGTTTCAAACCACAGGAGATGCAACAGGGCCCATTAAAGAGGAAATAAGTGGCCAGAATCAGCTCAGCCACACTCACCAAATGCACATCCTCAGATGGAGACACACGGTCGGCTCTTTTAGATGCTATTTTCAAAATCTTCACAAAGGATTGCACGGTGATTATATGTATTCATGATGTGCATATCGTGTGCTCAGCTCAAAGGATATTTGAATGATGCATTGAGAATTATTCCTAAAAAAGGATTCAGCATCTGTAAACTGCTTCATCTTTGAGAACGAGAAGGAAAAAAATGGCTTGATTTTCTTTAAAAAAAAAAAATACCAACTTATAAAGCAGAGCAGCTTATGTGAGCTGGTGTTAATGCCCCATTACACACAGACACACTGAGGCATAATCACATGCATTCACGTCCACACAATCACACGCACACATAAACAACCGTGTGGTATTAGTTCTTCCTGATTATTTTCATCTTGAAATTCGCTTTTCAAATCAAGGAGGCCCTCAGTACCAGCTCACAGCCTTTCTCTCTTCACACAGCTTTCTTGGCCTCCACAGTGAGGTCAAAAGATGTCTATAAGAATAAACCCAAGGCCAAAGATTTTTCAGTGTGTATTGATTGGTTCAACTTATATGTGTACAATGCGTGTGTGTGTGAATGTATGATGTGTCATGTGTATGTGCGTGTACATACACATTAAAATATGGGTAAGTTTGAATTGTCAGTTTGTTACTCCTCCTACCTGTCCTTCATGAAACATGGAAGAGAGAACACCTGTCACAGCCTAGCTGTTCTCTGTCTTCACTGACCTGGAAATTAGAGGACCTGAGGATACAGGACCTGCCTGACTTAGGGCTCCTGCCCCGATCTGGGCTGTCAGGTCAGTTATTGCTGAGAGGCTCCTATGTTGTACTAGTAGTGCTTACCTTGTGATTAGGAAGGTCCCTTAACTTGTGTTTTGACTCTGCCAGCTGAGTGCAACCCTATCCCCTTAAAAAAAAAAAAAAAAAAAAAAAAAAAAAAAAAAACAGAAAAAGGACAGGATTACACAGGGAAGTTAAGTGTACATATCAATCTCTCTTAGACATTTACATTTTTTCTTCATTTTTTACCATATTCTAAACACTGAAGGATTCCCATCCAAAAACGGTCTAATGGTCTTATGGAATCTAAGAGAATGTTTTCTGGAAACTTTATGCTTTGTTTAGCATTAATCCTACCACTGGCCAATAAATATTCATTATCTGTAACAGTGTGCAAAACACCATCCAAATGATGCTTGCTCCATGCAAACTCTTGAGATCCTGAACTATCTGAGAATAGGGGCTATATTTGAATCATATGTCTACCCAATAGGAAGCTTGAATGTAGACAACTGGTAAATGTCTACTGACTAATTGAATAAATGATTGTTTCTTCTCTCTCTCCCATTAGTTTTTAATTTATTTAAGAGGATCAGTTGCTCTTGGTTTGTTTTGTTTTGAGACAGAGTCCTGCTCTGTCACCCAGGCTGGAGTGTGGTGGCTCCATCTTAGCTCACTGCAACCTTCGCCTCCTGGGTTCAAGTGTTTCTCCTGCCTCAGCCTCCCAGTAGCTGGGATTACAGGTGCCTGCCACCACACCCAGCTAGTTTTTGTATTTTTGGTAGAGATGAGATTTCACCACGTTGGCCAGGCTGGTCTCGAACTCCTGACCTCAAGTGATCTGCTGCCTTGGCCTCTCAAAGTGCTGGGATTACAGGTGTGAGCCACTGCACCCGGCCACTTTTTTTTCTTTGTTGTAACTCCCTTTTTATCCACTGAATTGTTTTGTTAATGGTAGATTAGATTGATGGTGCAGGTTAGTGGCCTTGTTTTATAGATTTTCTTCCTCTGCAATGGGACTTGCACCTCCTCTCAGCAAAAGATGGCGTAAATTTCTTCACCCCTTGAATTTTGGTTGGTCTTGTAACTACTTTGGACCAATGGAATGTGGTGTAAATGATGATATGGGTGTGCCTGCTCTGACCATAGGCCTCAAGAGCGCTTGTGTTCTTTTGTTCTCTCTTGGACTCCTACCCTGCCATGAGAAAGTTTCCTGATTTTTCTGCTGGAGGAAGAGAGACCACATGGACCAGAGGCAGGTCATCCCAACTGAGTCCCTGCTATACTAGCCAGATCCTCAGCTGACCTACCTGCTGACTACAGGGGAATAAGAAAGCCAAGCTCAGACAGGCAGAGGCAGCTAACCAAGGCATAGACTTACAGCAAAAATCAAAGTCTATCATTGCATGCCACCAAGCTGCTGTGCTGTTTGTTATGCTGTATAATTGCAATGAGAGATAACCAACACAGTTGTCCTTAAGTCCACTTGCCTCCTGTCTTTCTCTTTACTCTTCAGTGTCTATCAATCACACTTTTCTAAATTCTGCTCTCAAGAAACTTTCTGATTTCTGCCAGATTTAATGTGAATAGATACTAAGTCAGTAGACTACTTATTTGCTAGGAATTAATATTTTAAATATATACTCCCACTATGAAATGCCAGGCTTAATACTATCTTGAAGCAATTTATTCACATTGATGATCAGAAGGTAGACACAGCAATGTCATTGAAAGGATGGGAGCAGCAAATGGGCCACTTGGACAACACAATGTCAAATACATCTTTTAACCCTGAGACAAGGTAACAAATCTTTACTCTGTCTAAGGGTAATTAAGGTGGTGTTCACAATCCCTGTCATCTGGAAGCTTTTAATCTAAAATATCAACAATGTCTTAATAAAACAGAATAGATGATAATGACAGCTATAAAAAATTGACCTATTCATAAAATTATTTGTATTTGTTCAAGCCCAAAGCATGCACTAAAATTGAACAAAATTTTTTCAAATTTTCAGACAAAAGTGAAGAACTGATCAGTAAAATGCCTAACATACATGGCTGCTTGACTGCACTAATTTGCGTACAAATGGACACTCTCAAGAGAAAGTGTAAAGGCAGCAGAAGGGCAGTGGGAAGCCTTTATTCACAAAAATGTAATAAATGGAATGTTGAAATATGAAGACAACCTGTAGAAAGAAGACAAAACTTTATCTTGTGGGTGGAAGAATATCTGGCACAAAGGTAAAGAAATGAGTGAGAGAAAAACCACTTGTTCCTTAATCTAGAAAATCCTTCTAGAGGAGGTAGAAAGTCCTAACCATTTGAAGCCAGAATTAAAGACCGCAGCCAAAGAGTGTTGCTACGGGTTTGTAAAAAGTTTCACTCTTCTGTGTGTTCCATTAACACTTAATCAGGAAAAGTGTTGCAGCATTTCAAGAATTACAGGTCTTACAATAGAAGCTTACACTGAACAAATCTTTGCATTGTTCTTATGTTATCAACAGTCATTCATGGAGTGTCTACAACATGCATGAAGCATCAAAGGGGGTACATAGTTTACAGAGTAGAAAAGACAAGGTTACTATCCTCGAAGAGGTTGGAATGAAGGAGTTCATTCATTCATTAATTCAATCACTTAACCAATGAATGCATTCATGCATCTGTCATCCATCCATCAGCCCATCTCTGGCAGATGTGAAAGGGCAGAGCCCTACAGTTTGGTTTGTCTGAGCTTTAGTCATGAGCTCACTTCTGGAATGTTAGTAGGTACCTAGTGGATATTTCTTGACTTGATACAAGTGCTGCATGTGTATTGACTGACTGACTGAAAACTTGGGATTTCTGCCATGAAATCAGGAAGAAGACATCTGAAAAAGAGTATTTTCTTTTTGTGATATCTGGACATCCCCTTAAAACTAACTCTTCGAGTAAGAATGACAATAGAGTTCGTTTTAGGTTATTTGATTTGTTCCAAAAAAGAGACTCAATATAACTCCCTATGCGTTTCCCGATTTTTTTTGTCTTTGTCTTTATAATGTTTAATGTGCATGTCTAGATCTCAGTTAAAGTAGTTTAGAGGAAGGTTCTGATCACTGGTTATAATTTGGTTCAGATTTTCATTAGATCCCTTTTTAAATTCTTTGTTTCTTGTAACATATTTAGTTATTAGGCCTGTGTCCCAATTTATTTTAATTTAGCAAACATATTTTCTATGGGCTTACCCCAGTCAGGTGCCCAGCCAAATAAAATATGTGATTTGCAGAGAAGTAATGAGCTTTTTCATAGATCTTATGTTACTTCTTGTTCCTCACCGGTCCTTTCATTCTGTGACATCCCAAAGGGCAAGAGTGGTGCCCTGAGGTGTTCTACCCCAAAGACAGATCTTAGGGATTTAAATGGGTCACAACAGACAAACAGATTACCTTTACATCCAAGATACAATGAATGAGCCATGTGAACTGGACCAGTTCAAGCAAGCCCCACAAGGAAATTTGTTATTGCTCAAACACCATAAATTTTGGGTCAATATTTGTAGTAAACTCTTGATGTCCTTACACAGATAATCTCAATACTCACCATCCTGTGCATGTTGAAGGCTTTCTACTGTAAGCACCTCAACTCTCTGCTTGAGAGCTTTCTCTGGCTGTTGGAGTATGTCCAGCCTTCCTATGGAGCAGGCCAATGACTGACAGGAGTTGTCGGATAAATAAGGCCGCTATTTTGTACCTCAGGTGGGACAGCTCTACTTGTTCAACCCTGTCATTCAGTTGTCCCCAGCAGGCTTCAGCTGCAGTTGACCACAGGGGTAATGGGTTTACTAAGACATCCTGTGTTGGCTTCTTCCCTTTCTTGTCTGCTTTTTCACACCATTCCTGGGCCTTTGTGGGATGACTTATTTAATAAATTCTTATTGCAGGGACTATACCCACGGAAACCAACCTATTCAACTCTTAGTATGGATTTTGCATTTGGACATATATTATCTCAAGGAAAGTCTGGAACAATTCAGAAAGTTTCATGATGATGGCTGTTGCTTCCTTTTCTCCTTAGCTTAATCCATATCTAAATTTTAGGATAGCTATGAACATTAAAAATATAGTTTAAAATATCAACCCAGCCTGCCTGCCTGCCTGCCTGCCTTCCTTCCTTCATTCCTTTTCTTTCTTTTCTTTCCTCATTCTTTCTTCACTTCCTTCCTCCCTTCCTTCCCTTCCTTCCTTCTTTATATTTACTTCCTGGCTTATAGCCACTACAGTGAATGTCTTACATCCATGAGATGAACTCAGTTCTAACCTTATTGACCTAGCAAGCCACTTTTTTCCATGATGACAAGCTAGGATCACGTCTCATAATGACGGCTGCAAGATTGTCTTGTTAGGAGAAGGGCTAAGGTGGGATTGTCTTTAATGACAGTGAAAGCACCTCATAAAACCTGACTCCTCAGTTTTACAGGCATGAGTCTGGAATTTTAGCAGACGTAGACTTACTAAATCAGTCAGTCAAAAATTATATCAGTTGAAGTGCAATGTTCCTGGCAGTCCAAAAAACCTGAACATGTAGGTGATTTGGAGGGCATTTCGTTAACTCTTTAATTGGTCGTTTCAGTGCTAGAGGCAGTAGCTAATTGCCTGTAGGTCACTGTAGTCCTGGAGCTTAGGTAAATGTATATTGTCATATGTCACATTTTCATATGGCTTCTTTACACAGGTTGGTAAAAATGATTGCTGCATAATTAAAATTAAGACAAGGTGGGAAAAGTGATTCAATTAGAGCCCTGAAGCCATCACACAAATTATCTGATGTACCAAAAACTAATGAATAGTTATAACTAGTTTTATCTCTCGCCTCCTTGTTCCTCAATCCTACGTGCTTCATGGAATGCCAGGAACTCTTCAAGTTCTCTGCAGCTGGATGTTGGGTGGGCAGCTGGCTCCAGGAGCAAGTGCCCAAGAAAGCTTAAGCTTTTGAAATACACACATGAAGAAACTTTGTAGATGAGAATTTAAACTGAAAGTGACCAGATGAAAATTTCTGGTGGTCTCTCCATAGCCTAATATTATTTTGAAAACATCTGCAATATTTCAGTCTGCAGGGAGCAGGTATTATATACCAGGGTGAGTGATGACAGTGAAAATAAATGAGATTTGTCATACCCAAAACATCCCATGTTTTACACCATTTATTTTACAAATCTTCCACTGCTTCTCAGGAAGCATTAAACTGGAAGCTAGGGTGAGAACTTTGTGATGCCATGTTTAACAATTGTAATTACTTGCTGTTGACATAACAAATGAATACATATTTTGCTTATACAAAATAAAGCAAGACAGTTGTTTAAAAGTACAGAATATGTCAGATAGGTTACGGTTCTTATCTCCTGAATTTTACGGGTGGAGAGAAAGATGTTCACATTCAGCCCTACTTTATGCAAACACAGGGAGGAAGCAGCCTCTGCAAACATGAATAGCAACTTAGGTTAAGACTTATGGTCATCAGGTTACCTATTTGAAATAAAACTCCCTTTAGGAATGTGTCAGAAAACTAACAACCTCTAACTGCTTATAATTACTACCATTTATTAAAAAATTCCAAGAGTTTTGCATACAGTATAGCTGGTGCTTACAACAGTATAGCTGGTGCTTACAACAGCTCTGTGAAGTATTACTACTGTCCCATGTTAAAGTGGAGGAAACTGACCTTATGAAGGTTCAATAACTCCCTCCAGGTTATTCATCTATAAATGGCAGACAAGGAGTTCCTATATGGTTAGTCTTTCTATTGATACGTAACAACCTACCCTGAAACTTTGTGGCCTAAAACAATAACCATTGTATTACCTCTCCTGAGTCTGTGGACTGGCTGGATTGTGCTGAGCCACTGTTTTGCTCCAGAGTTGGAGCACCCGGGAGGCCCTCACTCTCATGTCTGGGGCCTTGGTGAAGTTGGCTGTAAGGCTGAGCTCAGCTGGGATGCAAGCAGTGCTGGGATTCTCTCCATGTAATTTTAGGGTCTCTCCTCTGCATGGCCTTTTCATGGGGTCTCTCTAGCAGGGTAGGTGGACCACTTACATGGCAGCTAAAAGTCCCCCACAGAGCATAAAAGCAGGGCCTGCCAAGCTTTCTTAAGGCGTTGACCATAAATTGTCATGGTGTTACTTTTACCATATTCTATTGGTTAAAGTGAATCATGGGCCAGTGTAGGCCCAATGTTGGGGGTAAATGCACAAGGGCATAAACACCTAAAGTCATAGTTGACTGGAGACCATCTTTGGAACTGGGGATCAATCAAAAATTTTTTTAATGAAAATTTTTTAATGAAAGACTAAGGAATTATTACACTATGAAATTGTCATAGGCACATGTTTGCAAGCTATTTCCCTGGGAATGAGTTAGAGCAGACCTGAATTAAATATGATACAATGATATAAAAAATTTACTGATGGCTGGAGATGGGTCAAGAAGGGATAAATAATTCCTTTGTTCTTTAGCGTGTCAGTATCAACAACAACAACAACAAAATTCAGTCTTTTCAAAATATTTCATTTGAATTAAGTAATTTAATCCTGAAAAACAAACAAAAAACTGCTGTGAAGTAAGTACCATTATTATTCCCATTTTATAGATAAGGAAACTGAGGCACGGAAAGGAAGTAATATGCTGAAGGTCACACAGCTACTATGTGACATAGCTAGGAAATGAATCACTGCATTATCCTATATCCCTATATTGTCAGTCATGACTGTCTTGCATTTCAAAGGTGATTTTCTTCCAACTGAAAACTGGAAATGGTATATGTAACTTTCTGGTCAGGAGGGTAGAACCAAGACACTGTGCCACTTTGAAGAGTTTAAATAGGCCCAACTTTAAACATGAGAAAACAAAACAGAACTTACAGGCAGTAGACCTCCAAATCTGGGAGAGAATAAGATCTACCTTTGGAGTTACCCCAGCAATTCCCAGACTAATATGTTCTTATCCAAGGAAGAGCCCTTCTTTGTACTCAGTAAGACCCTGGTTTCCTTTTATTAGAATGCTTGAGATAAAAAACATACAGGTTGAAAATGTGGCTATTTTTAAAGTTATCTGTATTTTCCACCATCATTTTCTTTCATGGTTTTTATTTTACGTTTTGGTAAAGTTTTGTTGAGAGCCTGAGGCTGCCTCTGTTGTGCTAAGAATATCCAGGAATCTTTGTCTATGGTGGGTCACGGAGAAGGACAGTAAGGAACCTCAGTGAGGGAGGAGAGCTGAGACCATTAGGAATAACATGTGACAAAACCCTAGAGGGGAAAAGAAAAGTGTAAGAAAACCCAAGAGAGGAGATGTTTTTTTCTCTCAATTCCTTTTCCCAGAGACAATTTGGAGAGGTCAGATTTATGTTGTGTTTTCAAAATGAAGGCAGCTTAGAAGTAGATAACATAGTGACTAAAATAATAATGTGTGTTGTGTGAATAGACCGTGTCTGTTGAAACAGGCAGGGGTAGGTCCTCATCACTTTGTGGTTACTTCTGAAGCAAAAGATATTAAAATGAAGGAGGCAGAGAAGGAACATGACGGGGAGGAGGTGCTTTAGGGAAACTTCATCAACTTCATGATTTTTCTATGTCTAATTGAACTCTTCTAATCTTAGCATGGAGCAACTTTTTTTTCATATACATGGGGATGAAAAACAATACCAACCTTTCTGTTTATCACACACTCCTCTTTGAGCATTGAGAAGACTGAATGTAAGCATGATGCTTAAGAATTGAGAGACCGAGGTTACTGAATCTTAGAATTGAAATGATTATTTGAAATGATTCCAGAGAAAGAAAGGTAGATGTCTTGGGCATGGCTGTCAAGCTGAAGACGAAAGTGTTCATTCTTTCAGTTATAGGCAGTCATGAAAATGAAAAAATTAGACAGATGCAAAGAGTGGACCAATAAGAATGCTGAAAATTACAGATGTGGTAAATATTTATGGATTGGCTTTCTCAGCTCTCTACCAAGAGCTGAAAGTCACCATAAGCCAAGCTGTAAGAGCCTGACCATGTAAGATTCACAGGTAGAATTCCTAGGGGAGAAACACAGGTTAGATGTATACATTTGTGTCTTTCCAGCCCTACAAATTAATCCCTAGCACTTTCTCCAAAGCCATATACATATATATATATATATATATATATATATATATATATATTTTTTTTTTTTTTTTTTTTTTTTTTTTTTTTTTGAGCCGGAGTCTCACTTTGTCACCCAGGCTGGAGTGCAGTGGTGCTATCTCGGCTCACTGCAACCTCTGCCTCCTGGGTTCAAGCGATTCTCCTTACTCAGCCTCCTAAGTAGCTGGGATTACAGGCACCTGCCACCATGCCCAGCTAATTTTTGTATTTTTAGTAAAGATGGGGTTTCACCATGTTGTTCAGGCTGGTCTTGAACTCCTGACCTCAAGCTATCCACCTGCCTCGGCCTCCCAAAGTGCTGAAATTACAGGCATGCGCCACCACACCCAGCCCCCTAAAGCCATACTTAGCTGAATTTTTCCTCATTAACTTTAGTATGATAGGATAGGAATTGAATGCCCACATAGTCTTTGATCATAAGAGCTAGTGATTAGCTTGACAAACTTTCATGGGGAATTAGATAAGCTGAGGGTATACAAATATATTAGGGCTGAAAACTGGAGATTTTGGTACATGCAAAACCTTACCCTCAAGGCTGCCGGTTTTATACTATTGAAAGAATGTCATGGATTGCTCAAAAATAGCAGGCAACAGAATAGGCTATCATAAATCTTTGCTCTTAAAAGGTACTAAGACACTTTTTACCAAAAACAAATATTATAAAAATCTGCTTCAGTCAACATCATTTATTGAGAAGCTACTATGGGCCAAGTCAAGTTTTAAAGCCAGGCAGCCAAACCCTTATAAAAAGCATGAATACCTTCCTGGGGTTTTTCCAAGTCTTTCTTTTCCTTCCTTGTCTCAAAAAATAAAAACCAGAGCATCTATTTGAATAATGAAGTTGATTCTTCTATTGCCGATGGCAAAATCAGAGAAACAATCTACCTATCTATAGACGTCTTTCTGAAATAAGTTCCCCAGAACACTGAGATGACCCTCAAAGATGTTAAAGGTATATGGGGAAGGGATAATTTAATTCTTCTTCATAGCTTTTGCACTGAGGCTAAATGATGGAAAGGGATTAAGAGTTACTCTGATGAGGGAATTTCAGATCTTTTAATTCATTGGGTAAAGGTCTCCAGAGAATACATTCCAACATATCAAAACCACAAAGAGACAAATAAAAAACTACTGTTTTTTTTTTCTTTTTTTTTTCCTGGCTGCCCTTTGCTGACATATCTACAATTCAAACATGGGAACCTGTCTAAGTTTGGTCTTTTTCTACTGAGAAGCCATGAGAAGTGAGGGGAAGGGGTTGTAGCAGTGGGACAGAGAAACAAAAGTACCTCTCCATGCTGTAATAGAGGTTAGTGCAGGATATGAAGGACAACCAGTCAATTAATCCATCAATGAATGGGAAAGTCTTCATGGAGAACATTCTGTGATCCTAGAACCATGCCACATGCTAATGGGGGAAAGACAGAGCAAATATTTCTAGTTGTAGCAATAAGACAAAGGGTCATGAGTGTAAATTAACAGAAAATTGTGATAATAATAAAAAGTGGTATAAGGGGCCACATAAATATTTACTAAGTTTGTAAGGAGGCAAGGACACTAGGAAGAGAAGACATTCAAATTAGGCTTTTGTTCTGTTGGTCCTAGAGTATAGAAAGAGAGAGGGTAATAACCTTCAAATGCAGGTGGCCCTTCTCTCTTCCTCCTCCTCCTCCTCTTCCCTCTTCTTCTTCATTCGGGAAAAAAGTTATAAAAAATATTTTCTAAGTTTTCTTTCTTTCTCTTAGAACTTTTGTACTTTTAAGAGAATCCTGAAATCTAGCAGGAATTCCTGGAATCTTAATGGATGCCTGATGTTTGCAGTTGAAAACCAGAGTTTCCATAGCTATTGTGGGAATTCTATCATATGGAGTACTTGGGGGAGAGGGGCCACCCTTGAAATCTGTATTTCTGAAATGGGAAACTGGAGGCTGGAGAGTTCACATCTGATAAAACTTCCTGGTGGTCATGATAGTGAAGTAGCTGAGTACACAGGTATGACTTGCCCTTGCCATATCTGAGGCATTGACAGTTAAAAAGTTCCCAGGGATGAGGTGGAGCTTGCAGTGAGCCGAGATCAAGCCACTGCACTCTAGCCTGGGCGACAGAGCGAGACTCCGTCTCAAAAATAAATAAATAAATAAATAAATAAATAAATAAATAAATAAATAAAAGTTCCCAGGGATTATCAGTTGCTCTCTGGACCATGTTCCTTTTCAGAATCAAGAACGGTTATCTGCAGTTAGAGGACACATGATGCTCTAATGGCAGTGCTTCTTACTACTCTGCTTGAAATCTATTGATGCTACATTTTGACAGTGTCACCCCCGTTTTCCCTCTTGATTAAACTCCTATATTGTCCCTTACTGGAGTATGATAAATTGAGTTGGAGAGAGGTTGAGAGCCTTGGAATTGCTGGGTACTTTCAGCCACCAAGCTCCCAGCTCACAGCTCAAACTGGAAAATAATTATGCTCAGTTATAATGTGACTTTATAATTAGATATTTTGGAAACTAAGTTTTCTTTTTTCATATTTGGGGAGAGAAAAAAAATGTAACTTCAGAAAAAAATACCAAATGATCACGTATTAGTCTGCTTTTGCATTGCTATAAAGAAATACCTGAGGTTGGATAATTTATAAAGAAAAGAGGCTTAACTGGCTCACAGTTCTGCAAGCTGTACAAGCATGGCTCCAGCATCTGCTTCGGGCAAGGGTTTCAGGAAGCTTACAGTTGTGGCAGAAGGGGAAGGGGAACCGACATGTCACATGATAGGAGCTGGAGCAAGAGGGAGTAGGGCCGAGGGAGGGTGGGGGTAGAGGGTAGTGCCACACTCTTCTAAACAACCAGATCTTGTGTGAACTACCAGAATGAGAACTTATTCATCACTAAGGGGACAGTGCTAAGCCATTCATGAGAGCTCCATCCCTATGATTCAAGCACCTCCCAGGCCCTACCTCCAACACTAGAGACTACGTTTCAACATGAGATTTGTGGGGGGCAACATCCAAACTACATTAAGCATGACCTCAGAATGACTTCCATCCTGATGAGTTACACATTATGATGGTCAATTTTCCCAATTAAAAAATATAACCCTATTTAACCTGATGCTTTACATGTCAGGAATTGGATAAATTATTTATCAAAGGCTTGATATGGTTCTTGGAGCCATTCCACATTTCTTGAATATCTGTATTTGGAATTTTATACATTTCTGTATGAATCAAGATATTATCAAATTGTGATAAATGTTCAACCCAATTTTCTGACTCCTTTGGGCAGTTTTCAGAGTTGAATGCTATAGCCCTAGATTTTAATGTCTCTTGACTTTGACCTTTTATCATCAGACTTTAGGTCAGAAAAGTCTCAGAACTCATGTTACTCAATCACTTATTTGGAGTGAGGTAGAAGTGCTCATGACAGCATACATTTTGCTTTTGGTTTATTTACTAACATGTCTTCAAAATTTAACTTTTTGGGACTATAAGAAGGGTTAATTTTAACAAAGGCCACTCACTATTTTCTGCCATGTGGTCCAAAGCAGAAAAGCACTTTATCTTATCAATATTATACTCTACTGGAGAAAACAGGCAATAAACTAATAAATAAATAATTTCAGATATCTATAAATGCTATGAAGAAAATAAATCAGTCAATGAAATCAAAAGTTACATGGTTGGGAGGTGGTACTATTTTACAGGGGATGGCATAGGGAGGCTTCTTGTACGTTTGAGCTGAGAAGTCAGCTAGATGAAAAACTGCAAAAGATAATTCCAGGAAGAGGGAGCAGAAGTGACATTTATAAATCATAACTGAAAAATTGTTCAGTGAAATTTTTTAATGAAAGAACCTGAAGTGAACATTGTAGATGAGGTGGTCAGGGGAGAGATTCTCAAGGAAATGATGTTTGAACTGAAAGATTAAAAAGACAGTGGCAAGACCCAACTAGGTGAGGAATGGGATTGGAATGGTGGTCACCAATGAATGCCTACCCCAAATCTATTCCCAATCCCTTCTCCCTTGCCTCCTTTAGCTATAGGGGACAAAAGCTCAAAGTTTATCAGCCTCTCTTTATTGTAGGGATGCCATGTAACAAATTTTTGGCCTATGAAACAAAAGAGGAATATTTCAAGGGACTTCTGGGAAAGGTTTTGTGTTCCTGTTAAAAAGAAAAGAAAGAGTCTAGGCTGGGGCTAGATAAATATTTAAAAATATTAATCAAAGGCCTCTGTGTGATGAGAACTTTCATAACACTGGAGGTACAACAGTGAACAAAATAAAGACTTGTTCCTAAGGAGCTTATATTCTGGTGGAGAGAGAAAAATAAATAGAAGGAAAGCATACAGACAAACACACACACACACAAACACAGATGGACACACAATGTGAATGATAAATGCCATGAAAGATGAAAACAGAGGGATGTTATTTTATAATTTTATACAGGCAGTTAGAGGAGTCATCTCTAACCAGACAAAACTTGACAAAAAAAGGCCTAAACAAAATGAAAGGGTAAGACAAGTGGCTATCTAGAGAAGGGCATTCTAATTTGAGGGATTAGCCACTGCAAAGACGCTGATACAGAAATGCAGCTTGTCTACTGTGGAACTGTATGACAGTTTTTAAGGAGTCTAATGAGGTCATCTGAATGAAATTTTAGAAAGCTTAGTTTGAGGAAATACATGTACCAAGATAGGGCCTGCAGAAGGAAAGCAGATTTGGGAAGGAAAGATGATGACTTCAGCTTTGGACACATTGCATTGAAGTTCTCTGTGGGGAAACTCAGCTACTGCTATCTGCTATTCAGTTGGATATACGGGGCTGGAATTCTAAGAGGAAAATGTTGCCAAAGCTTACAGATTTTATAGTCCTTAAAATCTAGATGAAAGTTGAAATCATCTGATGTGCCCATCATATGATTGCCTTGGGAAAATGTAGAGAATGTAAAGAAAAGAGAGGTGAGACTGAACACATGATTTTAAATATGTCTGTCTCTCCCTGAACCACTGAAGACAGCAAATTCCTTTGCAGAACATAGCAGAGGCTTCTCATTTATGTCTCTTCGGAGACTAACACAGAGCAGGCCCTTGGGAAATAGTCATGATGTTGCTATCACCACATATTATACAAGATGAATTGTTGCTTTTCAAACACTACAAGTTGGAAATAGGGCTTTGGAAAAGCTCCAATCCTATTCTGTACTCATCAGTTACTACTAGTGTGCTGGTTTCATCATGATTGTAAGCTTTTGTGTTTCAAGGCTACAGCACAGCTGGGGAGAGGGAGGCAGAAATCAGGCAATTAAAAACACCATGAAGTGTGCTGGGCTTACCGAGATTCAGCCACTTTTCTTTAAATAATGCCTAGGAATTATTGCAAGCTTTTGGTTAACTTCCAGAGTACTGAGAGAGTTGATTTCGATAATTTTTCACCAGTGTCTTTATTGCTTTAATGAAGGAGAGAACTTTTAGAGGTTCCTATGCCACCAGGTCCACAGACTTCAACTCTTAATTGATTTTTTATAAAGGTGCAAATAATTTAATAGAGGGAAGATAGTTGTTTTGACAAGCAGTGCTGAAGGAATTGGATATCCATGGGCAAAACAAATAAATAAATAAACCTTGACCTAATTCTCACACATTATGCAAAAAACCCTCAAAAATATATCATGAACTTAAAAATGTAAAACTCTAAAAATTTTTCTAAAAGTGGAAGAAAACCTTTGGGATCTCATGCTAGGCAGAATAATTTTATACTTGCCACTAAAACAAAATCCACAAAAGGCAAAACAAAAACTTACAAACCTGGACTTTATTTTATTCTGAATAAGACCATGGTAAGAGGATAAAAATTATAGGTTCAGACTGGGAGAAAATACCCTCAAACCATATGTCCAACAAAGGACTTACTGCTAGAATACATAAAGAATTCTCAAAAACCACCAGTAAAACAAACAGACCAATTAGGAAATTGATACAAGACATGAAGAGACATTTCACAGAAGAGAATGTACAGATGTCAAATAAGCAAATAAACACATAAAATATGTTAAACATTATCAGCCATTATGGAAATATAAATTAAAACCACAGTGAAACATCACTATATATCTGTCTAATGTCTAAAATAAAAAATACAACACCAAGTGCTGGAGAAGATGTAGAGGACCTGGATCATGCATACGTTGCTCACAGGAATACAAAATATTACAGCTACTGTGGAAAACTGTTTGGTACTTACTTAAATATCTAAACAAGCAACTACCAAACAACTGGGCATGTATCCCAGAGAAACAAAAACTTATATTCACACAAGAACCTGTACACAAATGTTATAATAATTTTATTCGTAATACTCAAAAACTGGAAATAACCCATATGTTTGGCAAAAGGTGAACGATTACACAAACTGTGGTACACCCATACTATGGAAGTCTATCCTCAAAGATTACGTACTGTATGACTTCACTTATATATTATTCCTGAAATGACAAAGTTGTAGAAATGAAGAACAGATAAGTGCTTGCCAGTGGTTAAGGGTGTTAGAGGGAGATAAGTGTGGCTCTGAAAGGGCAATATGAGGGATCTTGTGGTGATGGAAATATTCTGAATCTTGACTGTATCAGTGTCAGTATTTTGGTTGTGATACTGTACTACAGCTTTGCAAGATATGAGCAATGGGGAAAATGTGGCAAAGGATATATGGGAGCTCTCTATATTATCCCATATGTGGACAATTATGTGACTGTATATCTCAAAATAAAAGTCTTAAATACAGGATAGATGACATCAAAAGAAATGTGCTGGAGAAACTGCATATCTATATGGGCATAAATAGAACCTAGACCCTTGTCTCACCCATACACAAAAGCTAAATTGAGATAAGTTGTGGTTCTAAATGTAAAAGGCAAGACTATAAAGCTTCAAAAAGTGAATAGGAAAATATATTCATGACCTTGGGTTAGGCAAAAAATATTTAAACATAAGAGAACAAACAAAAACTATAAAAGGCAAAAATTAGAAATTGTACCTTAACAAAATTAAAACCTTTCTTTGAATATATAGACCATTAAGAAAATGAATCACAAGCCACAAACTTAATATCCCTAAACATATACATTAATGAGAACCTCATTCAGAATGTATAAAAACTCCAAAAATTATACAATAAGAAGACAAATATCCTAATTAAGAAGTGGCAAACAATTTGAACAGACATTTTACAAAGGGATATACACAAGTGGTCAATAAATAAAAAGTTGCTCAATATCATTAGTCATTATAAAAATATAAATTAAACAAATTAACACATTAATAATGCACAATTTTACATCTTTTGAGATGGGTTTTTTATAATGAGAAATAATAGCCATACCAAGAGCTTCAAGGATGTGGAGCAACTGGAATGCTCATACAATGCTGATGGAAGCATAAAATGGTAAAACCACTTTGAAAAGTTGTTTTGGTAGGGTTTTTTAAAAGCTAAATATATAACTTCCTTCCAGCTCACCAATTTCACTCATAGGTACTTACCCAAGAGAATTATAGACAGATGTTCCACAGAAAAGGCTCATGCAAGAATGTCCACAACAGCCTCATTGATAACTACTAAAATCTGAACAACCCACTATATTCAACAGGAGAATAAATTGTGGTATATCTGCACAATAGAATACTACTTAGTTATTAAAATGAGCATATTGATACAAGTAGATGAATTTCTAAAACATATTGAACAAAAGCCAAATATAGAGGAATACATAATATATTACATTTTAATTAGATCAGGACCAGGCAAAACTAATATAAAGTGACAGAAATAAGAAAGTTCCCCATTAGGGTTAGAGGAAATTGACTAGAAAGGGATGGGAAGTGCTGATAGGTGTGTTCTGTATCTTATTTTGGTTGAGTTTTATGGATTTATGAAGTTGTCAAATGCATAGAATTGAAGGGTTGAAATCTTTGTCTTTTATTATGTGTAAATCACACCTCAATAAAAAGTAAAGGTTAAAAACACACAATCTTTAAATGAAATTTCTTTAACGGCAATAAGAGACTGTTAACTTATGCCTAGAATTACTAATTAAACAAAAATACCATGCTAAAAAACATCAGTTGGGTGGGGTCCTAGTTGGACCTTCAAACCCATGAATCTAAAACATAAATATTTTCTCATTATTTCGTTTGTTTTATTTCCCCAAGATCTAGTTAGTTGTCACGAACATAAAGGTGGAGAGCTGCTAAGAGACAGAAACAACTTTAAAAGAAAAAAGAATGCAAAAAAGCCCAGAGGTTTTTTTCCCCATTTCCCTTAAAAATGTCCAAACAGATTTTCTCTTTCAATTTGTGAAGAAGTCTCTTTTCAGCTGAATCTTATTAAGGCACCAAAGCATTGTGCAGCTAGATGAGAAAGCTGTGAATCAAAGGGTTCATGACACCTATGCCGACAACCCTCCTTCCAGGGCTCAACGGGGAAAGGGAAAGGTGGTGGAGACCCGCCTCCGCATTGTCCCCCCACAACCCGGCCCCCGCTCCTCCAGCCTCCAACCCCACCCACAGCAGCTCAGATGTACCTTAGAACAAGGTGAAGGATGTGACTTTTAGGGGACTCCAGTCCACCTCAATTCATAACCCCTAACTGAAGATACAATTGGAAACTAAGATGCCTTTTTAACTCTAGTGGGAGTTGGGTAGATTGAAAACCCCATTCACTTTACACTGTTAGCTGGCCAGCATACATCTTCTCATTGATTGTACTTCAAGATAGAAAGGTGTCATATATTCTGGACCTGACTTTCTCTTGCTTTCATGTTTATTCATTCTAGAAATATAATTGAGCACCTACTATCAACCAGCCACTGAGGTAGTGGCTGAGTTTGCTCTAGGGTATGAGCCAGAGACATGGAGAGGAGATAATAGGAGTATTTGGAGATTGTGTTTATGGCTGGTGGGGGCCTTCAGTCTAAATCATATAGGGAGGATAATAAGTAGAGTGAAGTTTTGAAACCAGTTAAAATATAAGCAGGAAATTTGTGCAAAGAGAGCACTTTGAGATCATATTTTGATGTGTTTGGTGTTTCACCAATCACTCTTAGTGTTAGACATTTCACAAGTCCTGTGTATTAATCTCTGGATGGATAATTTAACCTCCCAACATATCCGAGGCTAGGTTTCAAGAGACAGCATTTTGTGCAGTTTTGTCACTTTCCTTGGATTTTTGTGGAGAGCCACCACTTTCTAGAATGAGAGTACTTATCCTCATACTGGGGCACATAAGACCTGTCAAATGGCTTTATGTAGCAGAATTCCAATAATGCCCTAAACTTCATGCTCATTGCAACTTCGGATATATATTGGCATGTTTCCAGGGATGCAAATGATTCTGTTGGCATAGTCCCTAATAATCTCAGGGAGAATAATAATTAGATGCAACAACTCATCATGAGACCAAGATACTGAGAATCTAGGGAATGAGAACCAGCCCTGAGCTTCTCTAACAGCATAATTTATGGGGAAGAAAACTACCTGTGGGGATTTGAAAGAGGGGGAGTAGCTGGCTAGAAGACAGACTTAATTTGGATCCTGGTATTGTGCAGTATCACGCAATGTTTTGTCGTTGAGTCCAAACTCCTAGGAACTTTGTTAGAACCCTGGTGGTAGTGGCTGTCAAAAGCCAGTCAAATGTGGAATTACATCTGTAAGAATCTGAGGGCTCCAGCACCTCTGTTCATGATTTGCTAACATAAGGTGTTTAGGGAGAGTGTATTTTTCCTCACTTTGATGTGATGCCTATTTGAGCAGAAAAAAAGAGTACCCCCAAATTAATACTGAAACAATGGAGCTATTCTGTATAGCCTTGGGGACGGATGTCAGTAAAGAGACTGAACAACTTTTGGGGGTGCCTTTGGTCCAAGACAAGACCTCTAAGAGATGAGCAAGAAAATGACCGTGCGAAGAGCACTCATGAGAAGCCTTGGGCTCTCCTTGGGGCAAAGGTATGGATTTGGGTTCCAGAAATGTCACTGGTTTTTTTACTATGATTGGTGTAGTCTGACACAGCTATATTTCCAGTTGTGGGGCCGCCAGAACTAGCATGTGCCCCCATTGTGCTTGCTTGCTGTCCTCCTCCAGTTTCCCCATCCTTAGGCAGCAGCCCCGAGAGAGGCTCCTCATGCCAGCTTGGGCAAAAGGTACTTCAAATCTCTGTGAGTCTCTCTGTTTTCATTTCTTCACTTCTGTAAAATGGGAGGTGTCATCTCATGTATTATACTTTCTATTTGTTGTTATTGTTTTAATTTAGATTCTACTGAATAAAAGGAGGCATGGGGCCGGGCGTGGTGGCACACACCTGTAATCCCAGAAGTTTAGGAAGCCGAGGCCAGCGGATTGCCTGAGGTTAGGAGTTCGAGACCAGCCTGGCCAACATGGCAAAACCCTGTCTCTACTAAAAATACAAAAATTAGTCTGGTATGGTGCTGGGCATCTGTAATCACAGCTACTCAGAAGGCTGGGGCAAGGAGAATTGCTTGAACCCAAGAGGCGGAGGTCGCAGTGAGCTAAGATTGTGCCATTGCACTCCAGCCTGGGCGACAGGGCAAGACTCTGTCTCAAAAATAAATAAATAAATAAATATAAAAGAGGGCAAGGGAGAGGAAAGAAGGATAGGAGGGAAGGAGAAATTCCATAAAAAGGAGTTTCTGAAATCAGATAGTGGTTACAGTTAAAAAGAATATATTAGGTTAGTGCAAACGTAAATGCGGTTTTTGCCATTACTTTCAATGGCAAAAACCGCAATTACATTTGCACCAACCTATAATACATCTTATACCAGATACATTATATAAAATCTTAGCATCACTTTTATTTGTGGAAATGGTCTGTATTAGTGTTGCTATGGACTGAATTGCATTTCCCCAAAATTTATATATTGAAGCCTTAATACCCAGTAACTTAGAATGTGATCACATTTGGAGACAAGGCCTTTAAACAGATAATTAATTAAATGAGGTCACATGCCTGAGCCCTAATATATATAACTATATTTGGAAATAGGGTCTTCAAAGAAGTGATTAATTTAAAATGAGGCCAATAAGATGGGACTCTAATCAAATAGTACTGCTGTCCTTATAAGAAGAAAAGGGGACACCAGGAATGTGATCCTGCAAAGAAAAGGGCATGTGAGGGCACAGAAAGGTATCACTGCATAGCAGGATTACAAAGGACTGGTTTCCTTCTTTATGAATTTCTGGGGTTTTTTACATAATAATGTGCAATGATCAAGTGTTACATTGGTAGTTATTTTTTAAAAATCGCTGAAATGTAAATTTAGAAAAACAAACATACAAAATAAATTCACTTGCCACTTACTTCCATTAATCTACAGAGAGAGCTAGTTTTACATGTCAACTTGGTAAGGTGTATTTTCTAAGTATAAAAGTTTTAGTGCTATGAAAAGTAATTTACATATGAAATTTTAAGAATTCAAATAACATGATTTTTTAGGAGTTTGGGCCATTCTTACCTTCATTATTTTTCTTTCATTTAAAAGGGAAACTATGTTTTAGTCTCTATCATTAAATTGAAAAATGATAACAATAAAGGGAAGCAAAGGAGCAAAAAAAGAAAATGTTCTTCAAGGAGAAAGAAAGATCTTGCCAATTCTAAACTCAGAGAAATTGAACTTGAAGAATCAGTTTTTTAGTTACACTTCTTGTATTTGGTCAATACAGAATATTCTCCAAAGTACTAATACTAATCAGGGCAAGTTTTGCATTGATGACTTACAGGTTCTACCTTAGGCAGATTATTTCATCTCCCTTGCTCACCTGCTATAAGCAAAAAGGAAACATTTTTAGTTATAAGGATTTTGAGTTACTGCTGCATAACCATAGCCATCCTGATTGATAGACTACATTTCTTAAGAATTCCATAAATGGGGCCGGGAGCAGTGGCTCACGCCTGTAATCCCAGCACTTTGGAGGCTGAGGTGGGCGGATCACGAGGTCAGGAAATTGAGACCATCCTGGCCAACATGGTGAAACCCCGTGTCTACTAAAAATACAAAAATTAGCTGAGTGTGGTGGCACACACCCATAATCCTAGCTACTCTGGAAGCTGAGGCAGGAGAATCGCTTGAACCCGGGAGACGGAGATTGCAGTGAGCCGAGATCACGCCACTGCACTCCAGCATAGTGACAGAGTGAGACTCTGTCTCAAAAAAAAAAAAAAAAAAAAAAAAAAAAAAAGAATTGCATAAATGTAGAGTTAAAGGACTTTAAGAAGCTGAAGAATCAGAACTTCTGGAGTTTGAGGAATGCTTCACGGAAGGGTGACACTTTAGAAGGATGGTAGAGAATGGACAAGATTTAGATAAGGGGAGATGGGATCAAGGTCACTACTGATGTGGGAAAAAGCCGAACAAAGGTACACAGGTAAGAACATGTAGGGCATTATATTTGAAACAAGAATAATTTTGTTTAGCTGGAGCAGAAATATAGAATGGGATTAGTTAGCAATTAATTTGGAGTGGTTCTTGTACTAACAATTTTCCCATGAGTTCAAAAGGACTTAGGTATTATCATAAGTTCGTTCCCATCTGGGCATAGTAGAATGCCCCCAGCTACCACTCTGCAATGACTGTATTCTGCAGAATGTAACTGATATTTAGAAACTTATAAACAATCCTAGTTTATCTGAGGTTCTTTATTGATAGTAGTTACTATTCTTGGTGTTAATAATATCCATATGTGGCACCTAAACTCAGCAGGCCAGAACGACATCATAAAACAATACCCAAATACATTTATGCCATCTTTCATTTAAGAATCTCAAAGTGCTTTACAAATATGAATTAATTAAAGTTCAAAATTAATTAGCTTGTATTAATTTTTCATTGTATAGAACAGACTTTGCAGCTTCATTGATTTTTACGTGCTAACAAGCTTTGCCTAAGTCTCTTTCTTTATTTCCCCCTCTCTGTGTGTAAATGGGTGTAAAGAGGAGAGAAAAAAGACTTATGGCATTTTGGAGAGTAGAATTTAATTTGAATTTGGACTTTTCAGTCTGTGTGTTTCTTAAATGCTGGCCCTATCATAGCAAGGACTGATTTTGTGTGTTCAGGTCTGAATTTCTCTGTGTGACACAGTAGAACTGAACCATGAGATGAATTTGAGCCCTCCCATGGCTGTTTCCTTTCTTCCTGGTATGCCGGGTTTTTAACATTTTGCTATTGCCTTGACCTAGATTCATATGGAAATAGTGATGCTGATGTCTGGACAAGACATGGACAGTTTGTGATTGTGTGGCTTAAGTTCCTTTAAAATATGACCTAAGTATCTGAGAGGAGAAAAATGCTGACAAAACAGATCTTTACATATTGGAGATTGGTTGTTTGAATAAATGCACCTAAAGACTGGAAACTTCTCTTCCAACAGTAGGTGCAAAAGTAGAAATAAAATAAAAAGCAAATTAGTATTATGCATGGGGAGCAGGAATTGGAACATCCATCTCAAAGGATTAGGGTTCTTTTTCTCCTTTCATTTTAATTGTACGAGCTTCCAGCAGTAGAGCAGGATTTGAAGTTTGTTTGTATTTACAATTGGTGTCTTAAAAGATTCATTATGAAATGTGTTACTGTTTCAGAAGAGGAAGCTGGGGCCCAAGCTGGTGTGTCCTGGCTGGGCAAATGGAGACTCTCCCATCTGCGTTCTGTTAGGGAGAATCCTGACCCTATGTGTGAAGGAGCAGGTGGGGGTGGTATTGCTTACACATGTGTCAGGGAGCTGAGCTGGTCCTCGGCTTACGAAGATTTCCTTCTTTCAGGGTCAGACACAGGCCAGCACAGATTTAGCCACGTTGGCCCTGATGTACTCCACATGGCTCACATTCTCAATCCGTTTACCCTGGCTGTGGCTGAGCTGCCAAGTCCCCAGCTCATTCCTTCCTGTTCTCCAAGCTGTTCATTCCTGCCGCAGAGAGTCCAGCACATTTTCCTATCTGCACGCTCCTCAGTTGGGGAGTTTTCTTGGATTGGTAGTTCCACAGAATGCAACAGAAGCAAAACTTTCAAGGGTCTGATTGTTGGCCTAGCAGCTCCACCAGTTGCTGACATTGGAGTAAGTGCCCCTTTGGCCAAGGTGAACTTAAAGGCAGGCAGGTAGAAAAGAGATTGGTGTAAAATGATACAGAGTGGTGTAAAGTCTTTTCTTTGGGAAGCCAAAGAGCATTTTCCCTTTGAGATAAAATGCTAAATTATTTTCTGCAGACTAGAGCATTCTTTATTGTCCCTTCTATCCATCAAGCATCCTTCTCAGATCTTGTGCATCTGGGCTCTAAATATTTCCCTACCTGACTGCTTTTGTTCATGGTCATTCTCAAAATGGAGAGCTTCTCACTTACTCCTTACTGCTGTCTGGCTGTGCAAACCCTAATCATTCTTCAAGCTCCAACCTCTGTCCTCACTCCGTATTGAAGTTTCCCTGTCCGCCCAGCCCTCAGCTCTCTTCAGCCTCTGAACTCACATAGTGTTATTGTGTGAACTGTTTGTCGATTAATCATGTATAGCACTGCCTTGTGACATCTTCTGTATTATATCATTATTAAACTCACAGGATTTAACTTTTCAGGTGTCAAACATTTTGTTATGCTTTCTGTGGCAGGAACCAAATGTTATACTGTTTTTGAATTGTCCTCAGCACATGTCAGAGTCTGGGACACATTGTCTGGGTGAGAATGTATTGATTGACATAGAGTACTCAGGGCAAGGGGACTGAATTATTTCAATTACTTATTTATGAGAAAATATATAAGAAATTATCAGTGGAGTTATATTTTTATATGTATTAATATATGTATATATACATTCTTAGATATTATATTTTTATTGAATGCCAAGTTTAAGAAAACAAGTTAATTAGAGAAAAGGGAAATGGTTGGAAGAATGCTGGATTCTGGAGTATCTCTGTGAAATCAAAGGCAGTGAGTCTTCTGGAGTATTTTATGTGGAAACTAAACAGTTCTGGCAAATGCAGGCAGCTCGTGTTCTCTGTCAGCATCTCCTTCCTGTTTCTCTCTGCCGAGCTGCCTAAACTGACTTCCTGTTTGCTTCTTAGAGGGGACAGCTCCACGGTTTGAAAATTTGTGTTACCTCAATATTAGCCACATCCAGAGACTGACTAGGTATTTATCAGTTCCAATTCCAAATTCCAAGGAGAATCCGATTGGCTCAAATTGGAATAGATGACCATCCCAGAATCAACTGGGTAAGGCTAAGGGACCTGGTTACATAAAAAATACAGTTAACTAGGGGACCATCTTTGTGAGAGGGAGCCAATTCAAAGGGAAGAAAGATTTTCATAGTCTAGTCAGACTCCCCCAAATTTTATCAATTACAAATTTTTTGGTGCTTCTATTGATTTTCAAATTTAGTCAAGAATGTCATCATCCACTCAGGTTGCTACATTAGAAACCTAGACCTAGGCCAGGTGCCATGCTCCATGCCTATAATCCCAGCATTGAGAGGCCAAGGCAGGAGGATCACTTGAACAGGAGGATCACTTGAGCCCAGAAGTTCAAGACCAGCATGGGCAGCATAGACCTCATCTTTACAATAAATAAATAAATAAAATAAAATATTAGCTGAACATAGTGGCATGTGCCTTGTAGTCTTAGCTGCTTGGGAGGCTGAGAAGGGAGGATCTCTTGAGCCCGGGTGATCAAGGCTGTAGTGAGCCATGATCGCACCACTGCACTCCAGCCTGGGTGACAGAGCAAGACCCCATCTCAAAAACAACAATAAAACCAAACAAGCAAAAATGAAACCTGGACCTAATCCTTCACTGTCTTCTCTCTGCCTCCTCCTAAGATCCTGTCAATTCACCTCCTATCTGTCTCTTTTACCTCCTCTTCATGTCTGTCAATGTTGCCTTAACCCAAGTCCTCCCCACTGGTTACCTGGATTAGTACAATAATAGTTTTCAAATTGTTCTCCTGGCCTCTAGTCTCACCCCCACTTCCCAGTCATACTCCACATAAAGGAGCACAGATGGAATGAGGTCAATCTCCTGTGTTGGAATAGCGAGTATTTTTCACCATCACCTGCATTCATTCATTCATTCATGCATTTATTCAATCAGTATTTAGTTAATATTTGTTGACAACTTAGTGTGAGGCATACAGTGTTTGAGAAGATGAAAACAGAAAGATAACAAAGATGCAAAAGATCACAGGGGATTGTGAAGGAAGACAGATGGAACAAAATTAAACTACGTTAGACAGAAAGAATCAAAATGAAATAAACAGGTTGGTATGAAAGAGAGTACACAGGAAAGTGGGACTAATTAGAGGAGGTCATCCAGAAAGTCTTCATGAGGTGATATTTGGAATTAAAAAAAATCAGAACATGAGAAAAAGGCATTACTATGAAGATGTGGAGATTAAGATTCCCAGGAGAGGGAAGAGAAGGTGAGGTGCTTTGAGGTATGAATCAGACTGCTTTGTTGCAGAGACAAAAGGTGGGCAGTGTGGCTTGAGCAGAGTGAGCAGGGACAGGGTGGCATGAGTTGAGGTCAGAGAGGGGCAGGGCCTGCCCACTCTGGGCTTGGCAGTCCTCAAAGCCCATGTTCTTCTAGGTTCCATGGAAATCAAGTAGGTGGGTGAGGTGTTTTAAGAGGAGAGTCACTTTGAAAAATTTCCAAACTTTGAACATTTCCTGTAGTTGCTATGAAAATGGTTTGCAGAGTGTCAAGAATGGATCAGGGAGGCCAGTTAGGAGATGTCTCAAGTATTCCAGGCAAAAGATGGTGGCATAAGTCACAGTAGGAGTGGTGGGCAGGGCCATGGAAGCAGAACTGATAGAACTTCTTGATGGGGAAAACATCAGGAAGGTGAAGGAAAGGGAAGAGCTAAGGAGACTCCTAAGTTAGGCAGATATTGGTACCCATCAGTCCATTTGGGCTGCTATGACAAAGTATCATAAACTGGGTAGCTTATAGACAACAGATATGTATTTCTCACAGTGTGGGGACTGGGAGTCCAAGATCAAAGTCCCAGCAGATTTGGTGTCTGATGATGGCCTGTTTCCTGGTTCATGGAAGATGATACCTTCTCCCCACATTCTCACATAGTGGAAGGGGCAAGGCAGCTCTCTGGGGCCTCTTTTACAAGGGCACTACTTCCATTCATGAGGCTTCCACTCTTATGGCCTAATCACTTCCCAAAGACCCCACCACCTAATGCCATCATCATTGAGTTTAGGATTTTAACATATGAATTTGTGTGTGGGGGGTGGTACACAAACATTTAGACCATAGCAATACCTTTTTCTAAGGCAGGGAACACTAGGGAAAGAACTGAGTAGATGTGGGAGTGGGAGGTGTGTGGGAGAGTCAAATTTGTAAATTCAGAGATGCTCAATTCATGTGCAAGATGAGAGGTCAATCTGGAAGCCAAACATTATGAGCCAGGAGAAATGAAAACTAGAGTATATTAACTTGGGAATAATTAGTATAGAGATGGCATTTAAGGCTTTGTTAATGGATGACATGATCAAAAGAGAGTACAGAAAGACAAGAAAGAGGATGAAGCCGAATTGAAGCCCAAGACACTGTAGCGTTTACATAGTAGGTAGAGGAACAGCCAGCAGTAGAGACTGAACTGGTCAGCCCCAGGTACCTGTCACCCTAAAAATTCAATGAGCTTGAACAATATACACTGCCTCAGTTTTCTGGTACCTGGCAATGAGGAACCATCTTAGATTCCTTCTCCTAAAGAATGCAGAAAATTGGCATTTGCACAAAAATGTGTGTTTGCAGAGCAAGGATAATATAAAGCTGATATCCTCAGTGGTATGCCTCCCAACCACCCCCCAGGACAGTCGGAATGAAAAAATGATTATGTACTTAATGTCCACTGAGCACCCTGGAGAGAAAAAGAGCATACTATAATTGCAAAGTATTATTTTTACCATTATTAATACATGAATCATTCATTAGAAAAAAAAGAACTAGGAATTGGAAAGTCAGGAGATAATAGGCTGTGTTTATAATGTTGCACAGAAGGAATTGCCCATATAAATCCCCTCTCACTAGGATGTGTAGTCAGATTAACACTTGCTGAATATGTTCTTGTAGCAGAGACAAGCCCTTAGCAGTAGCCCTAGAGAGCTAGCTAGGTATTTGTAGCAAGTGACTATCTACCCGGTTCACCTTATTTCTCCCCCTTGACTGTTGTCCACTCTATAGAAGGACTGCTGGATGGAAGGTCCCAGGAAGAAGTAAACTACTTTTGTAGAATCTTTTAGAGAGGCATCACCCTTCTCAGAGAGGTGAATCTTTTCAAATGTAGTGGCTAGTTTTAAAAGAATGAAGGAATTTACAGAAACTTGAAAAGACCTTAAAAATACCAAGCATAAGCGCCAGAATCTCAGATTATCCTCCAGGATTGCCTGCCCCCTCACCTGAAGATTTTATCATGGAGCAAAACAAGCAAACAAACAAAACCCCAAAACTACATACAAAGATGATGTGCATTTGGATAAATCTTTGGAAACACAAAGCAACAAAGAACCTTGAACTTGATTTGCAAGCCCTTATTGACTAAAATATTTAGAAAAAAAAAGACAAAAATTGAAATACGTTGTTTCCATCTGCATGTTTTGTAAAGGGGCATAATTTGCCTCCCCAAACAGACTATCTGGGCTTCAAGAACCAAAGGCAAAAATGGCTGTTTGAAATTACACATTAAATATCTCAAATGGGACGTTCGATTTAAATGGAGTAAATTTACTGGAATAGGAAACAGACAATAGGGAATAAAAGAAGAAGACTAAGTTTGTTTTTTCTTTATGGACAAGAAATAAAAGACAAAAAGAGTAACTGGCAGAAATGTGTGTATGTCTGTAAGGAGTGTGTGTGTGCATGTATGTGTGTGTGAAAAGTGGAGAGATGATAGAGTGCAGGGGAGAGAGAATTATTGTGTCCCAAATTTTTGATGGAACACTGGAATGACATTCCTTTTCACAAACAGTGCTGAGAGATTGGAAGTGGGGGGATGGGGTGATGTGAGTTCCATGATTTTATTCAAATATCATATAGCTCTAAGACTCAATCATTAAGATGCTTGACTTCATGCAATTCTGTACTTTAATAATAATGTCGGATGGTTCTTCCAGCTCCTGATTATAAAGGTAATTTTATTACTGTGTCCTCTTATCCATTTGATCATTCTTCATTTCTTCTTGATCATTCACACTCACTATGAAATGTGAGTGGCAATTGGAACATCTGCAACATTGGTAATCATGAGTAAGAGGTGGTTATTAAGCAGTAATCTTTTCCTTTTTAATTGGTTTACAAGCCACATGCACAAGCAGTCTTATTTTTGACCAAAAGTATTACTACCAGCTTAACCAACCATCTTATTTGCCAGACTTTTAGCTAAATGCTTTTTGGCAACATGAAGAAATCAAATTTACTCTAAAAAGAAAAAAAGTGTCACACTTGAATATGTGTAAATAGATATATGCCCTGAGCTCTGAAGGCTAATCTAAAATACTACACATTTTTTGGGGGGGAGGGGGAGAAACTATGAGAGTTGGAATGAAAGTAAACTCCCCCCAGTGATAACTTTTGATAGGAAAGACTTCATTGTCAATTTTTTTGGTTATGCATGTTTTAATAAATTCAGCCCTATTATGCATATAATTTGAACTTCCAGTAGAACAAAGACATGTTTAATCCAAGGCACTGGACACACCTGTTTTTCTATTTTGCTGTGTTGATAACTTCTCAGCTAAATTTGTTCTTGAATTATATATCCACCAGCTAAACAGCAGATCCTTTCTTCCTATCCTACCATCCTGTTCCCTTCAAAGTTCAGATTGCCTCTGAAATCTTTAGCTAGTCAAAATTTATGTTTCTAAAACTGACTTGTTAGCTGTTTGAACACACACATTAAACAAATCTAAGATCACAGTTGTGTCTGCATCTGCTGGTGTGCCTTCAGCAGCTCTATGTGGTGACATTCTGTTCTTCTGAGATGAAGTGGGGCACACATATCCCACTCCAAGCCATACCAGTCTCGCTCATGCGATGAACGCCAAACAGGAGAAGTGGCAGATTAAACTGGTAACATGATTTGGGTCAGCGCATATAGACTGGAAAATATTTTGGTTCCTGTAGTTTATGCACAATATCTGGTGGTGCCAAATTGTTCAATGAATGAAAAAAGAAACAAACACAAGTTGACTGAGGCCAGAACTCAAAGTCTTGACCTCTTCATGACTACTCGTTAATTAACAGAGCTGAGATGCCCGGATAATCCTCTTCCCAGGCAAGAAATCCAACTTTAAAAGTTTCTCTAAGAATAGCTGTTTGCCCTGTAATAAGTTACCAAACCTGCTCCTTCTTTTGCCACAACTGTCTCTAATCTCAAACTTTGTTGGAGATAAAACTGGAAAAAAAAAATCGTTCTTGGAGATCCTTTTTTTCATCTGTGGGGGTTGTATATTTCCTATAGTTAGGGGCCTTTTGTGGTCTATCAGTTTCCATCTGCTAAATATCTTCCAGATTTCCTAACTGATCACTCATCTAGGACCCTGGTGGGCTTCCTACAACTGGTATAGATTTATTTTTATATTTCTTTTGTCATTTCGATGGGATTTGAGGAGAGAAGAGAAGAAAGTCGTTTGTTCAGTCAGCCATCTTGATTCAGAGTTGATAACCTTTTATCAGGGCAGGCACAGAGGGACAGAACTCATGCCCCAGATCCTTTAAAAAGTAATTTTGAGAGACATTTAGCACGTTCAGAAGACTAGCAACCCGACCTACATTCTTTCAGTATATTGATTTGCAAAATCCAAGTCTTTACTTACATATTTTCTATGCTTCAGTTCTTTAAGGAAAAAAAAAAAGCAAATAGAGAAAAGAGGCTATTAATTACATTAACTTTTACTCTTAATTCTCCACACATTATAAACATAGAATATGACAGTTTTTACTTATGAGAGTATATAGTTTTACTTATTAGCTCTGCAGGGTGCAGAGTAAAACTTGTTCTTTCCTCTAATCAGAATTTTTATGTGTTGTTATATTATTAGAATGAGATGTAGTATATCTCGTATTGTCATAAAAAATTGGTTTAATAAGTGAAACAAGTCAACAAAATGGACATAGTTTCTTCTCGGAAAGATGAAAACATGAGACAAAGATATCACTCATTTTAGTCTCATAACTGGTGACTATGGTGGTTGTGTGTGTGTGTGCACTCACGCATGTGTATGTTTAGCTCCCGTGCAAGACTTCATCTAAAATAATGTCTTGATTAAGTATTTTTTCCCTGAAACCCAGTGTGAAGATGCCTGGCAGGGCATTTGAAGGGGTGGTGGCTTTTAAGAAGGCGTAGGGTCTAATGGAGTAGGAAGAAAGAGAAGAGGACACTCGCAGGGTAAAAGAGGATCTATTGAAGTGGATTCTACTTTTTTATGTGCTAAGTGTCATGGACTATGTTCTGTGTCCTCCTTTTGAAGCACACTTCTTTGACACTCTTTCTTAGTACCCACTACCCTTCCATTGCTAAGCACCTGCTCAGAGATCATACTACAGTGCTTCCTCTGAGACATCCCTCCCCAATGACTACTGCATGTTCCTGACTTGTCCTTCTCTGTCATCATTAACCTACTCGAATGATTTTTACTTCTTCCAAAACATACCTCTAATTTCTTCCTCTCACCCACAAATTTCCTCTGTTTATTTATCATGCTAACTCTCTCTTCTCTGATTTAATTCATCTCTTAGACTTTACTTTTTATAATAAAACTAACTATTTTCTGGTCATAGTAGAAGTGGAAAGAAGTAATAATATCATCATCCAACCTTTGTAAAAAGCTTTAAAGTTTCCATTGTGCCTTCACATTTTTAATCTCACTGTATTTAAGGGAGGCATTACAAGCTCATTTTAATGATAAGGAAACAGAAAGTGAGACGTAATAAGGGACTGTCCAAGGTTGCTCAGCTATTTGTTAAATATCAGAGCTAGGAGAGAAGGATAATAAAACTCTAGGGCTCACATAGAATTCTGTTTCATTCCAGCCAAGCGCTTAGGACTGTAGAGTGAAAGTGCTTTGGTCCTAGGTCCATATCTGGGGTCTGAAACTTACCAGCTGTGTGACTTTGAGCAAATCGCTAGTCCACTTTGACCTTTTGGTTTTTGTTCCAAGTACCACCAGTGCCTGTCATGAAAGGAAATGAGATGCAAGGACAATGTTACCTGTTAAATGTACAGCTCTGTAAAAATATTAGCCACGATAGGACTGTTGGGCCTCACAACTTCAGAAGGCACCATTCACAGAGCATGAAGTGCTCTAGGGCATAATCACATTGTATTGCATTTCAGTGGTATTCCGCTGGAGTTCTGAAATCCCCGTGCCTCTGCAAATTGTTTGCTGTTGTTGTTTAAATTTACAAAAGAAGAAAACGAAGATTGGTTAAGTCCCCAGAATAAGTTGTTTGAAGTCTACACTTAGACTATGCACAATGTCTGGCTATCTAATGTTGTGTTATCTATTGTTTTTTGGTTTTAAGCAACAATTTATTGTTCTCTCTCAGGTCTGGGCACTGAAAGCCTGGCTGGGGTTCTCAGTTGGGGCCCTTCATATGGTTTCAGTGGGAGGGCAGCTGAGGCCACGGTAATCTGAAGGCTTTTTCCTCAGCACCAGAGCTGAATTGGCTGAGACAAGTTAAGACTGATTTGTTATTGCTCTCTCCAAGTAGCCTCATCAAATGAAGAGGTTGGGCTTTCTTACAGATTATGGTCTCAAGGTAGTCAGACTTCTTGTTTGGAGGGTGGTTTATCCCAGAATTCGAGTTCTAAGAAAACAATGGGAAAACGGTGAATCTTCTTATGACCTAGATTTGGAAATGAAGAACGTTTCAGCTGCATTGAGTTGGTGAAGCAAGTCATAATTCATGCCAGCCCAGATTCAAGAGGAGAGGAGAATTAGATTCCACTTCTCCATGGAAGAATGGCATGTATGTACTGGAAAGGAAGGAACTGATGGCAGTCATCTTAGAGATACGCTACCATAGTGAGCTCTTTCTTCTATCCTCTTTTTGCTGATCAATGTCTCAAAGTATGCAAACATTGCCAATGTTCTACCTGTCACTCACCCCAACACCAAGCTCCTCACTATCCCTTGCCCATCTGGGTTGTGTGTGCGCATGCGCACACGCACAGCGCATCATTGTCTGCTGATTAATACCTGTCTCATTCATACACTGATCCACCCCCCTCCACCCCACTGAACCTTTGTTTTCAAATTGAGCTCATCACTACTAAGATAAAAGTTTAGATTTTAGCACTAAATACTCATATAGAGCAAAAAAAAATCTGGTCCTTAGTCATCCTTGTCTTCCTAAGGCTAGCAGCCATGACAAAATATACATATATGATCACAAGAAAAAAACAGGAAAAAGTGCAGGTAGCTAGGTTAATGTGACTATATCTAAGAAAGTAGCAGGTCAATATCAGTGTGTGTGTGTGAACACATGCATACCTATGTGTATATATGATATGTGTGTGTGTGTGTATGTGTGTGCATGTGTGTATCGGACTATTCAAGGTTAGTGGTATGGGCAAAACAGCAGTAGTATATTTAAATAGAACAACAAATCCTAAAATTCTGAGACTATAATTCTTCCATAGGTCAATATTAATTTTTCTTTGACCTTAAGTTGGTAGGTAATTTCCTTATGCGCTTTCATCATAGGCTGCACTAAAACTATTTTAAGTATTTGCTTAGTTGCTTAGGTTTAGTTTTTACACGTGTCTAATTTTTATAATGAAACAAGTAGGATGCACTTTTATTCTAAATACTAATGGTGATAGCCCTAATGAATTCAGGATGCTTCCATATTATGTATTGGTGAAAATGCAGTGACAGACATGAAACTTCCAAGCATATCCTGCCAAGGAAATGTACACAAGGGAAGTATATGGAAAGACCATTTGCGAAGCCATAGGAATTCCCCATATCTCCTTAATATGGTATTAAAACGATTTTAATTGTGCACACACACCCACAGACCTCCAAGGGTTAACTGCACACAATGTAATGAATTCAATAATGATGAGTTAAAAAAGGTCTAATTAGCAAGTAACCACTTTATTATGAAAGAAAATGGTAATGAATTTAATAGCTCAAAATCATTAACAATATTTAGTTTGCTGGTACTTGTTCTCTATTATCCTCATTAATATGAACATTTAATATGTTTTAAAATGGATTTGTAATACTTTCTGTGCCATGAGGTTACACTGACAGAAAGAGTGTAATTATTCTGCTAATTGTTATCACTGTATGTTTGTGCTTCGAATAGAAGTATATTTAGGTGTTAATACCAGAAAAGAAGTAATTAAGAAAGGAAAGATTTAAAACCTAATTAAACAAAAACTCAAAAAAAAAATCTTAGGCCACTATAAGAAAAGAATTTCTGAAGTAATTGCTTTTGAAGGTACTTTTTTCCTCCTTACTAACTCAATTTTTCTATTGTTTTGAATTTCCTGAAGAAGGGAAATAAAGTTATCTAAATTAAAACTGGGACAAAATGAAAGAAACAGAAAAACGTCAAGATTCACTTTGTGCCAAGTGAAGTTGATTCTTTACAATGTTCCTGACTGCCATGAAGCCCGTTCTCTGCCATGGGTCCCCTTTGATGATTGATAGCCCGATCTTACACATGGAGTCTCTGTGGCTCTGTTCCCTTCCCTGCCCTTACCTGAGATACCTCCCGTTTCTGTTGTGCCCTAAAGATCCACACACATGCCCCACTGAGGGCCATTTCTACTGAGATTCATGATAGCTTTTTGTTCCTCTGAGTATCTTATAGTCACCAGAGCCACTAAAGTTAAAAAAAAAAAAAACAAAAGTTTTAGCCAGAAATCCTCAGACATGGAAAATATCACAGGGCAAAGAAGACAAATGTTATTTGAGCATCATCTAACATTGTCAGAGATGAAAGAGAAAGACGGAAACACGCAAGCAAACAAACAAGCAGCTTCCTCCCAACAAGGACTCTGAGACCCTTGATAAACGGGCAGTTCAATATGCCACTGATAGCTGGTGGTAGGACATTCTTCTTATTTTTGCCTGCTTGAAAACAGAAGTTTGATCATTTTCACGTCATTGATAGCCAGATACCACTCTACTGGGTTCAGTATTCTCTTGCAACTTTAAGATCCAACTCCATTTGAGGTTTTCTTTTTTCCTTCTGGATATACATAATCACAACTATGCTTGTCATTCATTCTTTTGGCCAATATTCATTGAACAGATAACTATTCTTGTCCTCTGCAAACTCCTCCGTTGCTTTAGGAGTCTTCTTTGTGATTTCACTTTGATGTTGCAGAGCGAGACCTTGTCCCAGTGCTCTGTTTACTGACCAGCCATGACGATGCTGATAGGCCAGGATTAGCGCCTGTATACGCTGCTTCCACCATAGTGTCTTGGCAACGTGCATCTCCATCCGGTTTCCTATTGCTTTAGGTTCAGCCTATTACCTTCCTTGGGGGTTTTGCTGGCAACAGGATACCCCCAAGTTGTCAGTATTTTACTGTGTATAAAGTTTTAAAATCTTAAAAGATATAGTAGGTAGATGTTTTAGGTACTTGGGCCTATAAAGATAAGCCATAGCAGAAATAACCTCACGTGAGTCATTTCATTCCAGGTGAAAAAGACAAGGAGAATTGAGAGAAGGACTCTTAATAAAGTGGTGACTTTTCATGAACTGTCTGCAGAAAGGTCTCTCATCTCAATTTTTACCCACTTTTTTTCTTTGCTTTAAGATAATTATCAGTTGTGTTTACTAATTTTAACCACACTTGGATGACTAAAAATTATACTCAATTTGGGGGCTCAACCACTATGTTGGTCAAAATAGACGTCAAGAGAAATCTTATCTAATTTTGGAAAGATATGACTGAAATTACCTAGGCATATGTAATAACTTTCTGGACTAGTAGCATACTGTTGGTTAATTCTCAATTATTTGCAGTGATATAAGAAGTGGGGCTGACAGTAAACCACAGCATAAGTTTCATAGTTTGACATTTTTTTCTTTAATACTTCAGCAAAGTTTGTTTTTCTACCCTCACCCCTGCCCCACCAACATGCACAGACAACTTTCACAGCTCACGCCTTCTCAGCATCTTTGACTTTTGGTGTCGTGCCAATATGCCCCAACCAGATTTTGCACGAAACAATTTTCATGAAAAAAAAAATTTAGAGATTTCAAAGGAACTTCTGCATTCCATTTGCAAGGTACATAGAGTTTGGATTCCCAGAATCAATCAGTTAATATAGTGTGTGTGTGTGCGTGTGTGTGTGTGTGTGTGTGTGTATGTGTGTATTTGAAAACATTCTCTTCAACTTGAATATATTGAACACAATATCAGCAACATTGGGGCTCCAATAAATATTGGCTCACTCATTCAGTCTCTCAGTCACCATATTAATACTGTAATATGTTTTGTACAGAACTCAGGTATTGTATGAGCCGTGACTTCAAATAACACATCTGTCCAGTATGGAGAAATTAGTCAATGAACAAAGTAAATTATAATCTATTTTTGAAGTCATCAATTACCCTGCAACCACGCTCTGCTCTGGAATAATGCTATACAAACACCTATACAGAAACATAGAAGAAGCATCCCAAAGAGTTTGGTGGTAGATATTAAAAAGAAATTACTTCATAGGCCCTGAGATAAAAAAATATACAGGTTATCTGACTGTCTTAAGGAGTAAGTCTCTGAAAACAGTTTTTAACCATCCGGGCCAAAAAATAGCTAAGGTATCCAGCCAGTTTACATCAATGCAAATAAACATAAGGGAGAGTATATGACAAAAGTGACGAAAGAAAAAAGTCCTGCAAGTTATAATGGGCTTGTTATTCCGTGAAGCTGATGTGTTTGATTTTTCCTAATGATATGAGTATTAGAGGCACTTTTGCCAGTACAATTTCCCACTTCTCTTTAATTCTTATATAATAATATGTTATCTATTGAGTGTATATTGGTTTTGGTTTTTGACAAAATTGAAACTACGTGTATCATTCTATAAGCTGATGTTTTTTATATCGCAATACATCTTGCACATAGTTCCATGCCAATAAATAGAGCTATATGTCACCATTTTAAATGATTGAGTAATATTGTATTATATCTTATATAGTGACTCTGACCAATTTTTTTTCTTACTAGACATTACGTTTTTCACTTTGCCCTCATCTGGGAAGGAGGATTCATTTTCATATACTTGTCTGATTTTTTTCCTTAATATAAAATTCCTCCAGAAAAGTATTCTCAAAGAAATACCCGGTTTAAAATACACACATTATAAAACAGCCTTCTGGAATATTAAGTTAATATATACTTCTACCAACCATGTGAATGAGAGTGACTTTTTCTTCTTATCTCTATCAACACTTGAAAAGTTTATCTGCTTTTCTGCGAACTAGTAAAAATCAAAATCTTATCCATTGTTAGGTTTATCATCATTCTACTTAGATTTATACTATTATTACCAGAAGCTTCTTTACTTAGCTCACCCCCACCCAGGGTCTTTCTTGTTTTATGAATAAATAATTTTAAAACTATAATTATTTTCTAGGTACCATGTTCCTGAATACCATAGATTTCTTGTGCAGTAAAATTGCCATTAATTGTAAATCTTTTTGAATTTCTAACATGATAGCTTTTTTACTCCAAAGGTTACTTAGAGAAGTTTTTCCACATTCTTAACTATCAAAACACATACTGCTCTTTATTTTCTTTTAATTTGATATTCAAAGTTTTAGGCATTATCAGAAAAATTATTTTGTACAATAGATTTTTTTAAATATTTTGAGTTTTTCTATGGGTTAAAAACTTCCAGCATTTTGTCTGCTCAGACCATCACTTAATAATTGAGTTCTACTAAAGTCTCCAGATCTGTGGTTGTATGAATTTCCTATTGTAAATCTTTCAGCTTTATATATATTAAGATTATATGTTTTAGTAATACAGGTCATAATTATTATTTATTTTTAGTTGTTTCTTTTTTCATGTTGCAGCATTCTTTTTTTGTCCCAGTTACTGTGGGGCTTTGCCTTGTTCTTTGTTTTTGGTCTGGAATTCATTTTATCTAAAATTGTCAACTTTCTATACCAGCTTTCTTTTTTACAAGTTATATATGTAATATTTCTTTTGGCTAGTCATGCTTCATATATTTCCTTGCATATCTTTATTTTTATCTTTCTACACTGTTTAGCTTTAAAAGTACCACTTATAGCAGAAGACAGCTGGATTTGTTTTTTAAAAATTTAATTTGATAGCCTCTGCCTCTCAATAAGTGAGATTAATCCATGTTAAATAATTCTTATTCTGTATCTCTGTCATATATATAAAATCTTCTAAAATTCTTTTAACATTCGATACACTGACACAGAGGCAAAAGAAAATGACTAAAACTTAAATGTGAAAGAACACTTCACATTTAAATCCACAATATCATACATTTATCTTACAAAAGTGAAAAATCATTAACTATTATAAAACAAGACAAATTATATCACAAAATAACCAAAAATAGGAAAAAATCTGTAAATATATATCCAGCTCTGAAAAGTGTGGCTCTCTAGTTGTCTTCACATCCTTCTCTCCTGTGTACTGATATGCGACACATTGTTTCCTCAGAGAAATGCATACCCATACTTACTCTTCGGTTGTCCACTTACATATTCCTCTGCCTTCTCAGGGCTATATTCGAGCAGTCATCCAGGCAAGCCAGGTCCCCTCAATAATTCACTCCAGGATTTAATTTTACCACAACTGGTCTTCTGATGATATGCTTTAAGAAGGCACTGGAGGTTTGCTTCCAAAGGTTGATTTTAACATTCTTAGGAGGCAGGAAACCTGAGTTCTAATCCCAGTTCTGCCACTTAATTAGCTGCATGACTTGGATAACTCATCATTTCACCTCTTATGGCCCCAGGTTCCCCATCTCCTGGCTGGGATCCAGAAGCCTTACTCCAGGCACTATGCAATCCCAGCTTCTACAGATGATCCTTACATATATATTTAGACATATTTTATTTTTGCAATGTTATTTTGTTCTTCAGCATGCTTTTTTTTTTGCTTTTCTTTTTCATTTGAATCTTTTCTAGACTTCCATTGGATCAAATGATGTTTAATTATTCCTCTTATCTACTGTTTTAAATTTATATATTCTATTACTACTCCTTTAATAGCTAATTTTTAACTTTCGTTTTTGCTTTAGAATAAGGAGGTACATGGCAGGTTTATTACAAACATATATTGCTTGATGCTGAGGTTTGGGGTATAATTGAGCCCAAAACCCATGTAGTAAGCATAGTACCCAATAGGTAAACTTTTAGCCCTTGCCCTCCTCCTCCCTTCCCCTATCTAGTAGTCCCCAGTGTCTTTTGTTCTCATCTTTATGTTCATGTGTAACTTATGTTTGGCTCGCACTTAGAAGTGAGAATGTACAGGGTTTAGTTTTCTGTTTTTGCATAAGTTCTCTTAGAATAATGGTCTCCAGCTGCATCGATGTTGCATCAAAGGATGTGATTATATTCTTTTTTATGGCTGCATAGTATTCCATGGTATATATGTAACACATTTTTTCTATCCAGTACACTGTTGATAGGTACTAGGGTTGATTCCACATTTTTTTCTATGGTGAATAGCATTATGATGAACATACAGGTGCATGTGTCCTTATGGTAGAATAATTTATTTTTCTTTGAATATATACCCAGTAATGGGATTGCTGGATTGAATAGCAGTTCAACTCTCAATTCTTTGAGAAATCTACAAACTGCTTTCCACAGTGGCTGGACTAATTTACACTTCCATCAGCAGTATGTTAGTGTTCCATTTTCTCCAAAACCTTGCCAACACCTGTCATTTTTTTTTGACTTTTTATTACTAGCCATTCTGACTGGTATGAGATCTTATTGTGGTTTTAATTTGCATTTTATGATGATTAGTGATGATAAGCATTTTTTCATATATGCTGCATGTATGTCTTCTTTCACAGGTGGCCTGTTCATGTTGTTTACCCACTTTTTAATGAGGCTGTTTTCTGATTGTTGAATTGTTTAAGTTCCTTATGGATTCTGGATATTACACTTTTGTCAGATACATAGTTTGCAAATATTTCTTCCCATTCTGTATATTGTTTGTTTACTCCTTTGATAGTTTCTCCTGCTTTGAAGAAGCTGTTTAATTAGGTCTCACTTATCAGTTTTTGGTTTTGTTGTTGTTGCTTTTGACGGCTTAGCCATAATTTCTATGCCAAAGCTGACACCAAGATCTTTTACGTAGTCTTCCTCACCTCCTGATTTCCTCTCCCAAGTCAATCATATGCAAAATCTTCATGTTCTTTCTGTTTTTTATTCCAGTGTATTTGGATAGCATCCTTATTTACTTACTTCCTTTCAGTTTTCTAAGATAATCTATTGAATTCCAGTTGTTCAAGTAAGAATTCTACACTTTTATACTACTACTCTCCCCCACCCTACACATTCATCTCAATTGTTAAGTTACCTCAATATCTCAATGCTTAGTGTTTATTTAATGTGGCTAGATACATCATGTTCACAGTCAAGACATCTGATATATAATTATATGGTTTCCTATATAAGCTCCCTCATTAATAATTGGATTTCTTTTTTATTCATTTACTTTTCTATATATTTCTGCCCTCCATTTGGCCCTTTAGATCCATCCTCCATCCCTTTCCACCCTCTTTCTGCAGTTAGAAACTGACTGTGTGGAAAACATTAAAGGTTCTCTTGTGTTTCTAATTGGGTTCATAAAATTGTAAGTGCTGTCAAGAGATTAGAGGGAGGAAGAAGAGTGTGATAGTTGATTTGGGGTGTCAATTTGAATTAAGGGATACCCAGATAGCTGGTAAAGCAGTATTTGTTTTTTTGTTTGTTTGTTTGTTTTTTTGACGCAGAGTCTCCCTCTATTACCCAGGCTGGAGTGCAGTGCCGCAATCTCGGCTCACTGCAACCTCCGCCTCCTGGGTTCAAGCAATTCTCCTGCCTCAGTCTCCTGAGTAGCTGGGACTACAGGCGTGAGCCACCATGCCCAGCTCTTTTTTTTATATTTTTAGTAGAGACGGGGGTTTCACCATATTGGCCAGGCTGGTCTCGAACACCTGACCTCGTGATCTGCCCGCCTCAACCTCCCAAAGTGCTGGTATTACAGGCTTGAGCCACTGCACCTGGCCATCAGTATTTATTCTCAATCATTGCATTATTTTCATTGCTTCAGTAGGCACTGAACCTATCCCTCTTCTACTGAAAGTGAAACCCAGGTGGTTTGGCATTTGATTAGAATAATTGGGCTGCCCCATGTTGTGTCTTTGAGGGTATTTCTGAAGGAGATCCATGTGTAAGTTGGTAAACTGTGTGAGGAAGAGCCATCCTAAATGTAAGCAGGCACAATCCAATCATCTGGAAACCCGGAGGGAACAAAAAGGCAGAAGGTGAATTCTGGTTTTCTCTTTTGAAGGCTGAATGCTCTTTTTCTCCTGCAGCTGGACGCCAGAACTCCAGGTTCTCTGGCTTTTGGACTCAGGACTTGCACCTGAGTCCAGAAAGCAGCCTCCCCGGTGTCAGGCTCTCAGACGTTCGTTCTGAGCCCTTCGCACTTGGACTGATCCACACCACCGGTATCCCTGGTTCTCTGACTTACAGATGACCTATCATGGGACTTCTCAGCCTCCATAATAGAGTGAGTCAATTCCCCTAATAAATCATTTCTCATATATATTTTTTCTGTCTATTCTATCAGTTTTTTCTCGCTGGAGAACCCTGACTAAAACAAAAAGGGTGGTATAAAAATTTATTCTTTTGGCCCCTCCTTGCCGGTCCTTGTCTAGGGCTGGCTGGTCTCTCAGCCAAAGGCTTTCTCAGGGTAGCTTTTCATTTCATTATGTGATTCTCTCCTTCCAGGTTCTACTAGCCCTTCTATGTCACTATTGTTTTTATTTTTGTTTTATTTTCATGTGATGGGTAATGATGGGTCTAATATTACTACTTTAGGTCATGACACTATCTTTTGCAATTCTCCTACATCCCAGCCATACCTTTGTAGGTAATCCCTTTATTATATCATTCTCCAATTATGACAATTTGAATGTATTTTTTTGTTGAAACCCTGATTTATATATTTTTCCCCAAACTCTTTGCCAGAAATAGAAACGATTCCATAATAATGGCTAGCACAATCGATCTTATCAGTTCATTTTCCAATCTCTCCCTTTTTAAATTAACTAAACTTTAAACTGAAGTGCCAAACACATATAGAAGAGTAGGTAAATCATTAGTGGATTTTTAAAAAGTGAACACATGTGCATAACCACCACCCGGATGTTTGATCTGGTTTATTGTTTAATAAACCTTCCTGTCACCTGCGGAAGACTCTATTATGTCTTTCCCCATCATCGCTCCTGTCTTAAAGTTAATCCATATGCTGATATCTATCACCAAATTCAAAGCCAGGTTGGCTTTTTATTTAAGTAAATGAAATCCTGTAGTAGAGACTCTTTTGTGTTTGGCATGTTTTTTCAACATGTGTTAGTGAGATTGATCTATATTGTCTCATGAGCAACAGTTAATTTGTTTTCATTGGTATATAATATACTATTGTATGACTATGCCACTATTTATTTACTCTACCATTGATGGACGATTAGTTGTTTCTGTTTCTATCTCCTGTACTTATAGCTTGCATGAATGTTTGTGTGTGTGTGTGTATATATATATATATATTTGCACATATATACGTTTATTGGTTACTTATATAACTAAAAGTGAAGTCATGAGGCCATAGGGTATGCATATGTTCAACATTAGTAGCTACTGCCAGTCTTCCAAGATAAATTTAACAATTTAGACTCTCACAGCAATTTATGAGATTTCCTTGAATATTTTGGTATTGTCAGGTATTTTCATTCTGATGGATGGTTTTATTTTCGTTTTCTTAATGATGAATGAGGTGATGCCCCTTCATTTATTGGCTATTAAAATGCTTTATTGGCTAAGTGGATATAATCTTTTGTGAATTGCTTATTCAAATATTTTATTATTTTTAATGGTTTATCTGTATTGACTTATTTATAGGAGCTTTTGGATACATGTAGGAATTACTGTACTTGTGTGTATGTGTGTGTGTATTGGTGTGTTTGTGTGTGTGTATACACAGATGGTTTCTAATTTATGATGGTTTGCCTTATGATTTTTTTACTTTACAATGGTGCAGAAGGTGTATACTCCTTGACTTACACTGTAGTCACATCTGGACAAACCCACTGTTAAATTGAAAGTATCATTAGCCAAATATTTCTCTAAGTGATTTGAAAAGCAACTTTTATTTTGTACTAAATTGATATGGACTTTACTGTTGTTTTCCTCTGCTCATGGTCTAGTATCACACTGTTTTAATTATTGTAGTTTTATCATATATTTTTATATTATTCCTCTTTTTCAGCATAGTTTTGTTTTATACCTATTTTTAATCCAGGTGAATTTCTTTGAAAATATTACTAACTGAAGTTTGATTTAAAATGCACTATATTTAACGGCAAATTAGAAAACTGGTATCTTAACAGGACCCATAATATAACATAGTTCCTTTGATGTTTGTTACGTTACCACATTATTATTATTAGCTTTTTGATATGTTAAATACTTAATTAAAGAGAGAGAAATAACTGTTTGGTTTGCACAAGGTTTGATTTATTAGCTTTATGAAACAAGCTGATATCACAGGAAAAGAAGATGTCAAATATCAAGACCCACTTAAAAGACTAAATTTTCCCAAATATTCTATAAGGCATAAATGAGTATGCTTAAAGATCCTTACAGGTTCTTAAATGAGTATACTCCCCCTTAGATTGCAACATCATTCACACCCTGTATCAGCTCATTCCTCTTCCCTTCACCATAACGACCCACAAGTCATAAACAGTAGGAAGCACTGCCAGGAGAGATGGGAGCCAGCAATATGTGCCCCTTAATTATAGGCACCTTTCCTTCTAAGGCACCTTTATCTTCCCCTTAGGAAACCTGCGTGTACTCTGGTATGTGGATCAACATAGTCAGAACTTGAACATTTTTATTTGTGTGCATCAGACTCTTAGGCATGTTGCTGAGGCTTCTAAGTTAATGTCCCCAAATTGGCCATCAAGAAAGGGAAAACATACGCCTTTCTTTCTTTTTTAGTAGACTTTATCTTTTAGAGCAGCTTTAGGGTTACAGAAAAATTGAGCAGAAGGTACAGAGATTTTTCATATGTCCCCCATCCCCACATATGCAGAGACTCCCCTATATCAACATCTGGCACCAGAGTGGCACATTTATTACAATTGATGAAATGACATGGACACATAGTTATCACCCAAAGTCCATAGTTTATATTGGAGTTTGTACTAGCCCATTTCACACTGCTGATAAAGACATAACCAAGACTGGGAAGAAAAAAGATTTAATTGGACTTACAGTTCTACATAAGAACTGTAAGTCCAATTAAATCTTTTTTCTTCCCAGTCTTGGTTATGTCTTCTCAGTCTTGAGGCTGGGGAGGCCACAGAATCATGGCAGGAGGTGAAAGGCACTTCTTACATGGTGGAAACAAGAGAAAATGGGAAAGAAGCAAAAGCAGAACCCCCCAATAAACCCATCAGATCTTGTGAGACTTATTCACTATCATGAGAATAGCACAGGAAAGACCAGCCTCCATGATTCAATTACTTCCCCCTGGGTCCCTCCTACAACATGTGGTAATTCTGGGACTCACGATTCAAGTTGAGATCTGGGTGGGCACACAGCCAAACCATACCATTCTGCCCCTGTCCCCTTAAAACCTCATGTCCTCACATTTCAAAACCAATCATGCCTTCCCAACAGTCCCCCAAAGTCTTAACTCATTTCAGTATTCACCTGAAAGCCCACAGTCCAAAGTCTCATCTGAGAAAAGGCAAGTCCTTTCTGCCTATGAGCCTGTAAAATCAAAAGCCACCTAGTTACTTCCTAGATACAATGGGGGTACAGGTATTGGGTAAATGTAGCCATTCCAAATGGGAGGAATTGGCCAAAACAAAGAGGCTACAGGCCCCATGCAAGTCCACAATGCAGTGGGGCAGTCAAATCTTAAAGCTCCCAAATGATCTCCCTTGACTCCAGGTCTCATATCCAGGTCACACTGATGCAAAAGGTAGACTGCCATGGTCTTGGGCAGCTTCATCCCTGTGGCTTTACAAGATACAGTCTTTTTCCCGGCTGCTTTCATGGGCTGGTGTTGAGTGTCTGCGGTTTTTCCAGGCACAAGGTGCAAGCCATCAGTGGATCTACCATTCTGGGGTCTGGAGGATGGTGGCCCTCCTCTCACAGCTCCATTAGGCAGTACCCCAGTAGGGACTCAAACCCCACATTTCCCTTCCACACTTCTCTAGCAGAGGTTCTCCATGAGGGCCCCACCCCTTCAGCAAGCTTTTGCCTGGACATCCAGGCATTCCCATACATTTTCTGAAATCTAGGCAGAGGTTCCCAAACCTCAATTCTTGACTTCTGTGCACCTGCAGGCTCAACACCATATGGAAGCTGCCAAAGCTTGGGGCTTCCACCCTCTTAAGCCACAGCCCAAGCTGTACATTGGCCCCTTTCAGCCACAGCTGTAGTGGCTGGGACACAGGGCACCAAGTTCCTAGGCTGTACACAGCATGGGGACCCTGGGCCCAGCCAATAAAACCACTTTTTCCTCCTGGGCCTCTCGGCCTGTGATTGGAGGGACTGCTGTGAAGGTCTCTGACATGGCCTGGAGACATTTTCCCCATGGTCTTGGGGATTAATGTTAGGCTTCTTGCTACTTATGCAAATTTCTGCAGCTAGCTTAAATTTCTCTTCAGAAAATGGGTTTTTCTTTTCTACTACATTGTCAGGCTGTAAATTTTCTGACCTTTTATGCTCTGTTTCCCTTTTAAAATGGAATGTTTTAACAGCACCCAAGTCACCTTTCAAATGCTTTGCTGCTTAGAAATTTCTTCCACCAGATATCTTAAATCATCTCTCTCAAGTTCAAAGTTCCACAAATCTCTAGGGCAGGGGCAAAATGCCACCAGTCTCTTTGCTACAACATAACAAGAGTCACCTTTGCTCTGGTTCCTAACAAGTTCCTCATCTCCATCTGAGACCAACTCAGCCAGGAACCTTATTGTTCATTTTACTATCAACATTTTTGTCAAAGCCATTCAACAAATCTCTAGGAGGTTCCAAACTTTCCCATATTTTCCTGTCTTCTTCTGAGCCCTCCAAACTGTTCCAACATCTGCCTGTTACCCAGTTCCAAAGTCACTTCCACATTTTTGGGTATCTTTTGAGCAATGCCGCACTTTACTGGTACCAATGTACCATATTAGTTTGTTTTCACACTGCTGATAAAGACATATCCGAAAGTGGGAACAAAAAAGGTTTAATTGGACTTAGAGTTCCACATGGCTGGAGAGGCCTCAGAATCATGGTGAGATGTGAAAGGCATTTCTTACATGGCAGCGGCAAGAGAAAATGGGGAAGAAGCAAAAGCAGAAACCTCTGATAAACCCATCAGATCTCATAAGACTTATTCGCTATTACAAGAATAGCACGGGGAAGACCAGCCCCCATGATTCAATTACCTCCCCCTAGGTCCCTCCAACAACATGTGGCAATTCTGGGAGATACATTAAGTTGAGATTTAGGTGGGGACACAGCCAAACCATATCAGAGTTTTTTCTTGATGTACATTCTAAGGGTTTGAACAAATTTATAATGACATGTATCTGCCATCACAGTATCATACAGAAGAGTTTCACTGCCCTGAAAATCCTCTGTGCCCTGCATAGGCCTTTCTTGATAACTATTGGGAAGACTTTAAGTTCCAATTCTGATATACTTCAATCCCATAGCAAGAAAATCATGTTTTAAATTCAAAAGGAATATAAGTTATCAATCAAGGGCATATTAATTATGGCAAATGGGGCATCAGTCAAAAGAGCCAAAGATACTACTCGAGGAGCAAAAGGTGGAAGAATTCAGAGCAACATGAAAGAGATGAGAGATAGATGCTATAAGGACTGACCATTGGTGCTCACCTCAATTCCTTCTGTGAGTCCATTTTTTGAAGCCTCTATAGATACTCCCCAGAATTCTCCCATGTACTCTAATTATGGAATCCCACTTATATTCCTTAGAATGAATATAAAGCTCATCAAATCCTTTCTGCTGCTGGTTACAAGAATTAACCCATGGCTGTATGTCTCAGGCTATGTATGCATAGCTCAGAATTCTGGCTCACAAAGAATTTATTTCTGAGCTTTTATTTAAATTTCCTTTGTACCAAATACTTTTAAAGGAAAGTATTTAGATGAAGTTTTTTGTTGTTGTTTTGGTTTATTTGTTTATTTTTTTGCTTTCTTTATTTTTTAGCAGAGCTGTTGCATAACACAATTGGTTTGCCTGCTTTATAGGAAAGCAGGCCACCTTCCCTTATAAAGGGTGAGGGCACTGATGTGCCTTCCAATCACTTGGTTCTATTGTTCTAAGCAGTCCTTTCAGTGTTTTTGGCAGGCTTGGGCTTCTGTGCTACCATGGCCTTATTTTATTATTGTGTGGAAGGGAATGCAGTGTGATTATCCATTCTTCCTTCAGGCAGAGCAAGCCATCTGGAATGTTTATTAAACCCACCGGCTGATCAAGAGGCTAGAACTCTAGTGATATACATGGACATGGGTTGTTCTACATCATCATGGCTTTGTTCCTCTGATGATGTAGCATGCAGAGAGGGCCCTGTTAATGGATTTAGAGCACTTCACAGTGGAGGTGCCATGGGCTGAATGGGGGAAGAGATATTTTTGGCCTCTGGGTAATTGACTGAAGGATGGTAGAAAAATGTTTCATGTAAAGCAAGAAGGCTTCAAAACTTTTAAATGTTTAATTTGGGGTGGTAGAAGGGCAGGTGATCAGCAAGAGGTTTGAGGAGCGGCCTTTGAAGCCCAAATCTTTGCAATGAGGTCATGCCCCTCTAAGCCTGTCTGTCGCTCTGTGTAAAAAGATCAGTCGAGCTTGTCCAGAAATAAAATGCTACTATTCTAATTTTAAAATTTAGGCATTTCCCAGCCTACACTAAGCAGTACTTATATTTCTTTCCTTTTATTAGTGTCACTGCAAAGAAAGAGGAACGTTCTTCCTTTGCTATAAGTTTTGGTCTGTAATTGTTGAACATATTTTTTGCAGGAAGGCAAACTTTGTCTCTTCATGCTTTTGCTGTTTGTAAAATGAGTGTTTGTGGAGCTGGGAAGAAAAATTTATAATGAGGGTTTGGGCTTCTTTTCAATTTAATTTGAATTTTACACTGAGTCAACTTTTCAGTCAATTATAGAACTATGATTAGTTACCAGTCACTTAAATAAGCACCTTTTAAAAATAGCCCTATAAAAATGATACAGGGACTAATCACTGATGTGAACAAATCTTATGCAGGGCCACCCAAACCATAATAAGAGGGAAAAAAGATGGGTGAGCAAATAAAACCCGTGTTTGGCTAAATCGAAAGATACGTTAGTTACCCAACCTACTAAATAAATCTGCTCTGGCCAAGTTTATGCCAGTGCACAAGATATACTCTCAATCATGCCTTTAGTAAATCCTCAATGACAGAAATGAGTAATTTACCTTTATATGAAGATGAATGTATCAGGTTGAGAAGCTCTGTGTAAAGCATCTTGTCTGATTTTACAGTTTGTGTCCATTAATCTAGATATAGGTAAACATATATGTTTAAAGTTAGTCATAGCTACAGATGTGATTATATATATCACATATATATGTATTTCTATATATACTCTGTGTGTGTGTATATATATATATGCACATGCACATTTACATGAATATACAGATATATTTGTATTTGTATTTATATCTCTACATTTTTCTTCACAGTCAAATTAGGAACATCTAATCTACTCCACCAGAAATCAGAGCCATACTAATGTTATAGAAGGAGCTTGTTCCTTCAGAAATATATGTCCCTGTATCAGTTGTCTGTTATCACAATAATGATGCAAGAACAACTACCACAACCCTAAAAGATGTTACTTAATATAATAAGCATTTATTATTACTCTTGAGGCTGTGGGTTCATTGCCAGTTCTGGTATCAGTAGGGCTCACTCTTGCATCTGAGTTCAGCTTCAGGTCAGCTAGGCTGTTTTGCAGTCTTAGCTGGTTCAATCACATGTCTGAGTCCTTGGCTGGGAAAACTTGGCTGAATTTTGCACCCTTCGTGGTCTCTCCTCCTGTAGCAGGCTAGACTGGGCTTGTTCTCATAGCAGGAGGTAGAGAAAGTAAGAGAGAGAGACAGCAAGGCTTCCTGAGGTCCAGGCTCAGAACTGGCATGCTGTCACTCCTGCCATATTCCATCAATCAAATCCATTGAACAAAGGAATTACAAAGCCAGCCCAGATTCATGGAATAGAGAAGTAGACATCATTTCATGATGAGAAGAGCTGCCAGGTACCATTAAAAATGGCATGGGGACAGCATATCCCTCTCTGCAGCTTGGGAAGTTTGTGAAGAGTCAGGACAAGAATACCTGCTTTCTAGTCTGGTACTATTCCTAACACACTTGGCTCAGTTTCTCCTAATATCAAATAATGATATTTAAATGTTTGTCCCTGAACCTGTATGAAACATCTACAAATTGCAAATATCAATGTTCCCATAACTAGATTCAGTGTATATAATGACTACCATAATCTTGGTCCTATGTATACTAACTAGAAATCAAAGATTCACCCGTTGAAATTATTTTATATATACTATGCCCAGAAAATCTAGGAAATGTCATTAAGTCTAATTGTCTCCTCTGATGATTCTCTTAAACTAATTAAGCTTCTACCTAATACTCTGAGGAATAATATATTGGTTTTACTTATAACCTCTCTGTGCCCTTTGTCCTTGTCTATAAAAATTAGTGCATTTGACTGTGTGATTCAAGGAGTTAAGCCTTCTTGCACTAAAACTCCAACTTTTTCCTATAAAAATTGTGATACTTTTCTATCAGTAGTCTTCCTCTAGATTTTTTTCCAGGGTCCTCTAGCTGTGTTCACCATTCTCTTTCCTCCATGTGGTGTGTGGAACAGTGCTGATTAGAAATATCAGATGGATAAAAACAAACAAAAAACCTAAAAGTGGGTGGTAAACTATCAAGATTTGGCTTAACCCATTTATGCCTGAGGTTGCAATTTTTGAATTTTTGAATTTTTGAAATCAGACCTTGATGATGATTTTGAGCAGTAGGATATAAATAACTCCCACATGCTTAGCGTTCCAATAATGGAACACAGGCATAAGTTTAATCTGTGACTATATATTTGAATTGGAAGCATCACACCAATTATCCAATTAATATGTAAGCCTACATATCTGTTTGACACTTAGAGTGGAAGCTCAGCCATCTTCCAGCTTACTTTGACTGACATAAGCCATTTAATTTCAGTTTCATTTTCTGGAGAGGTATTCACATGGCTCTCCTACTCCTTGCTTCTCCTAACCTCTTGCTTTTTACTTTCTTTCTTTGTGTGTGGTATGTGTCACATATTTATTCAGTGTTTTGACATTCATGTATATGGCTAGGTGGACAAAAGTGCTGTAGCTCAAGAGTTGAATCAGAAAGAAGTCACATGACTTTTGTGTCCACTGATTTCACAGAGGTATAAGAGACTCCTGGGAGTAAGAGAATTTTAGAGGCAGAGAGGCAAGCAGAGAAAGAGTCAGACTTGGGTAGAATTATATGTGGAGGCCAGAGCACAGACAGAAGTAATGGGCCCCATGAGACACCATGTCATAACCAAAGGTAAAGTCTGGCACCCAAACAGGCACAGTAACAGAGGCTGAGCCAAGTGTGAATTAATGGTCCTGGGTACAACATGGTGGTAGGTGCCAAGACTGCTCTGTTCTAGCTACTCTGGTGGTCTATCTAAGAGCACTGAGAGAAGGAAGTCATAATTTCCCAATGGAAAAGACACCAAGATTAAAAGATATAATACTTTAGGCTTCAGTCAATTTTATTGTGTTATCCCGCTCTCCCTTCTCCAATTCAAACAAATCTCCAAGAAGGAGCCAGTCTGCTCCTGACTCTGAGTATGGAGATGCAACTCACTGGACCCGTGAGTACCACTGGCTTTAGATGGAAGCACACTGGAGGGCCGGATTCAGTGGCACTATGCCATGGCTCTGGCTCTTACTCTATTGAGGAGACAGTGAGGTGATTTCTTTCTCAGCCATCACCTCAGCTGTAATGTGAATAAAGAGAGCAAGGCTTCAACTCAGAGCATGACCTCTTGGGGCACTTTCTAAGTTCTATGGAATCTCAACTAAGCTAATTATAGCAGAGATGGAAAATTAGGGCAGGTCAGTGGAAGGAGGAAAACCACCTTGGGGTTGGAAATATTTGAGGAGGAGTAACTATGTTAGGTCCCGTCTTTCTGAACAAATTAGGTTGGATGTTGGGGCAACAAGATTTGAGTATTAGGGTTAATGAGAATGCACTTGTTTATATGCTTGTAGCTATTACATGCTGAGACTCATTTTATTCTGTGAGGTATTATTACTTCCATTTTGCAGGTAAAGAAACAGGCTCAGAGAGGCTTCGTGATTGCCCGAGCCACATAGTTGAACTTTGAGGCCAGTTCTCTGTGACTCTGATGGCTAAACACTCTCTTCCATTCCCAAAGACCTCTTCTTTTTGCTTTGGGGAATTTCTGTTGAATTCTGAGCTACTTGGTTTGTGTCAGTCCTAGTGTCCTCTTAATCAATGTCTGTGTATATATGTGTAGCATTGCCACCTGCAATTTTTAACTTGATAGCCAAAATATATCGTCATCTGAATTAGAAACAACGTCTGAACTTTTGCTGCCTTGTTTGTAATAAGTGAATATTGGTCTTCATAATCTGTAAGGCCATTTCTTACATTGTAAACCTCCCTTGATCTTCTCTTGGTAATGAAACCAACATCACCTTGATATTTAACTTTCAAAATGAAAGAAATGATTTCCTGGAAGTCATGAAGCCTAAAGCATCCAGCTGGAAAGAATATGGGATGAATTGACCTATGATTACAACCTGGCAGATGTGTCTCCCCTCAGCCTAGTCTAACTGAGAATTCAGTGTCGGCCAAGCATAGTCCTAAATACACAAAGCACATTACTGTCCTTAAAAAGGTTATGTGTCTCATTAGATACACAGCAATACAAGCAGCAATGGGTTTAACGGAATGTTCAAATGACCCACTGTCAACTAAATACTATAACTTCTGTGAGATATAAAGTCTTTAGGATCTGGGACAGTGATAAAAGACTTCAGAGAAGTTGGTGGGGGGCAGACTTAAGTGAACCCTGAAGGATGAATTGGTATTGAAGAGCCATGGCAGATGATTTTCTGAAATGGATTCTTATTCTTGTAGATTTGGGGAAGGTGAAAATTGGAAACCTTGCAGGATAGTGGTGTTTATTAAAGTGGGGGGTCCCCAGACCAGAGTGCTTCTAGGTGAAAAGGTATGGAATAAGGGGTGAGAAGATGCTCTTTAAGGACAGATTTTATATGTCTATATTATGACCACTTACTATTTCATTTGTGAATAAAAAGCTTTTCAGCCTATGTAAGTAAAGAGATCATTTGCTATCTTCCGAAACATGAAGGGTTTGTATGTAACCCAACAATTAGTTGTCCAACATCTGCATGGTGGAAAAGCAAGGATCCAGTGAGAAAATGTATGGTAGGAGGGAAGCCCTAAGATCTGAGCTCTTGGGATCAATTTCTTTATGTATTAACTCAGGACAAATTATACTGATATTTTCTGCTCTAAGGACCCAGAATTAAAAATAAACTACTATTGACTAAATGTCAAATTAACTAGGGCCTCTTGTAACTTTGTAAATCTCTGTTAAACAGCAAGGAGTAGTTTCTACCTCTGAAAAGGAGAATCTACAGGCTAGAAGTTGAAAGATAGTTGAGGTACCATGGTCTTATGTATTACCCCATGAGAGTGGAAGTGAAGCATCTATTTCCCTAACATCTCCCTATTTTGATGCCCACCCTTTCATTTGTACCCCTCTCTTCAATACTCTCTAAGCGTTTTGCTGCATATATGTGAGACTGCATGGAAAAATTAAGAGGCTGACTCACTTTTCAGGAGTAGTTAATTGCCAGAGAACATTGGGTTTCCCCTCCTGGTCCCTATGGGTAAGAAAGATTTGGAGGAGGAGGCTGTGTTCTATTTCAAGGGCTTCCAGATAAATAATGTTGATCTGAATTTGTTTGGTGGCAATGAGGCATCCACTTGCTAGCTAGATTAACCCTGGGTATGCATTCCTTCTATCTATAGGATTAACCCAGCCCATATTTTATATGCAAAGGTGGCTATTAAGCAAAGAATTAATGATGTCTAATAGTTCATAACCTCTTCACTAGAAACTATGAAACGCTTCCTCTGGCTTTAGAGAGTATTTGTCAAGATTAGAAAACTCAGTCTTGAAGCATTTCTAAACAATTTCATTGAAAATTGACCCCGCAATAGATGAGTCCCTCTCTTTTAATCTGTATTAATAAACCAAGAGCAAGGGAATTGACTAGAGGGGCTTTTCACCCACAGCAGAGGTTTGGGAGGATGAAATGTTGATTTGTTGATATCATAGTAATTGCATATGTACTTTCTTGCAGTTGACAAATCTGTTTCTTTAAAAAACAAGTAAAGCTCAGAAAAGGGAAAAATCTGGATTGAATTTGTCCTACTTGAGACATGATAGGGTAGTATGGTGGCAATCCTATCATGGCAGGTCTTGGGCAAATGACGTCGCTGAGTAACTGACTAAAGTATGCCAGTATGAAGTTCTTCAATGTATCTAAAATCCACCCGCTCTAATTCAAATTGAGAATGTGCCTGTAGTTTTGGATCATTCTATGCTTCTAAAGGAGCAATCCCAAATTACTATGGAAGCCTGAAACTTAAATTTCAATGAGAATGCAACTTCTGTAAAGAAATAGAACTATGGTCTAGATGAAGAATGAGAGGCTGGATGTACTTGACTCAGCCTGGGTCCCCACAGCATTAACAGTCCTGCCTGCTCCTCAGGCCAACAATGAGGCTGAAGAGATTAGACAAACAAAAACAAAAATGACATTTATATTCCCTTTACAGGCAAATGAAACTCAAAAGATCTGGATCTTTGAATGGATTCTGTAGTCATAAATAGACTTCAGGGTAAGCTGCCTATATTTCCTCTCACCAGTGAATCCAATCTGCTGTGAAAAATTTTCACTGTCTCCAACTCATCATGAAAACATTCTCAGCTAATTGAGACATTCCCAAACAATTAAGATAACCAGATGCGTCTGTTATTTGTAATTACCTGAACATGCATTCCTTTCTTTGAGAATAGTTCCATTTTTTGAGCCTTTTGAACTACTCCAGATAATGAAAATGAAGATGACTGTGTGTGCATTTTTCACTTGGCCTGATTTTGACATGGAATTACCTCTTTCCAAAACGAAGCAGCAAAACTGGAAACATGTGTGTGAAAATAAAACAAAAAAAAAACCCTTTTTCATTTTGCCTTATCCCCAAATACCTTCTCTTCCTATACAATTCATATCTCTGACGATTCTAATATTTAAGTTAGGACAGATTTAAATGTAAAACATGGAATCCAGCAATTAAGGAAAAAATAAACAATTTATAATTACTCATGACCTGCCACGTTGAATATTTCAGATTCATGGTGAGTCTGGAGCATCACATACAGTTCTTGGTAGTAGACGCAGCAGGTTTTCTCCAGGTGTTAACTACCAGCATAACTACTACTGTTAACTACAATTACCACTGCTATTATTCCTGCTACTCTTGTTAAGGATATACAGTTTCTCCAGATGAATATCTTCATTAGTGCTTTGGGATTTTCTTAAATCATTTTGTTATTGATTTGTTTAATAAACAGAGAATTGATCACAATAATTTGTCACTTTAATCCAATGATAATCCCACTGTATTTTTACTTTCCAAAGTATGCAAATCCTTGTAAAATTTCCAGATACAATTAAGATTCTGTCTTCTCTTAACTTTGCATTTGTCTTCACTGTTTATGTATAAATTAATCTTAAATTACTTTTAACTTTTTCTATAATTTCCTTGAGCCATTATTTAGTTTGCATTAAAATTTAAAATTCTGCACACCCAATCTGAAGACAAGGCCTGCCCATACTTCTTTTCATTCTCTACATACTACTCTAGCCCTCGCATATGGTAGATACTCAATAAATATTTGATTTGTTTTTATTTGAAAAGGTCTTATGCCTTTCTGATATATTTATTCCCTCCAGCAAACACTGTGATTTAGTGTTAAACAATTTTGGATTTTTGGGTTTTAGACTGTTGTATTCCACATGCAATATAAATGAAATTCTTCTCCCAGGCAATGGAGCTGTTTTCATTCTAAGTCCATCTACTAAGGCTAAGTTTCCTACTTACAAGATCAACACAGGAGAAATGTCTCTGGAGGTAGACAAGGATATCAGGAGACATGTGAAATGGGAAAAGGGGATAAAAAATATAAGGAGAAGAGGAAGAGGAGAAGGAGAAAGGAGGAGGAAGAAGAGAAAAAAGGGGAAAAAGAGTAAGAGTGAGGAGAATAAGAAAAACAATTGTTTTCCCTATAAAATTGACTTCTTTGTTTACTTGAGGTGAGGTCTCACTGTCACTCAGGCTGGAGTGCAGTGGCGCTATCTTAGCTCACTGCAACGTCTGCCTCCCAGGCTCAAGAGATCCTCCCATCTCAGCCTCCCAGGTAGCTGGAACTACAGGAACATGTCACCATGCCCAGCTAATTTTTGTATTTTTTGTAGAGATTAGTTTTTGCTGTTTTACCCAGGCTGGTCCTGAACTCCTGGATTCAAGCAATCTACCTGCCTCAGCCTCCCAAAGTGCTGGGATTACAGATGTGATCCACTGTCCCCAGCCACATTTCTTAATAGTGAATATTTTATTAAAAGTGGGGGATAACAGCTCATATATAACAACCCTAGGTTCAAAGTAAAGGGTTGGAGAAAGATCACACAAACAGAAAACAAAAAGGAGCTGGTATCACTAATCTCATGTTAGATAAAACATTCTTTAAACCTACAACAGTAATAAAGGACAAAGAAAGGCATTACATAATGATAAATGGTTCAATTCAACAAGGAGGCTTAACTATCCTAAATATTTAAGAAGACTTAAATATCATAAATATATAAATATATATGCACTCAACATTGGAGCACCCAGAATCATAAAATAAGTACTTTTAGACATGAAGAAGACTTAGACAACCGTACAATACTAGTGGGGGAATTCAACACCATAATGAAAGTGTTAGATCATCGAGGCAGAAAACTAATAAGGAAATTAACGACATAAATTTGACACTTGACCAATGGAACCTAATAGACATCTACATAATACTCCACACATCAGGCACAGAATATACATTCTTCTCATCTGTACATAGAGAATACTTCAAGATCAACCACATGCTCAGCTATAAATCAAGTCTCAGTAAATTTTTAAAAACTGATACCATATCAGCCATACTGTTGGATCACAGTTGAAGAAAAATTGAAATCAATACCAAAAAGACCTATCAAAACCATATGATTACATGAAAATTAAACAGCTTGCTCCTGAATGACTTTTGGGTAAACAATAAAATTAAGGCAGAAATTTAAAAATTCTTTGAATTAAATAAAACCAGAAACACAACATACCAAAATATCTGAGATTCAGCTAAGGCACTGTTAAGAGGAAAGTTTATAGCACTAAATACCTACCTCAAAACGTTAGAAATATCTCAGGTTAAAGACCTAACATCCCACCCAGATAAACTAGAAAAACAAGAACAACCTAACCCCAAAGCTAGCAGAAGAAAAGAAGTAACTAAAATCAGAGCACAGCTGAACAAAATTGAGAACCAAAATGCATACTAAAAATAAAACCAAAGGTTGTGCTTTTGAAATATAAATAATTGATAAGCTGCTAGCTAGAATAACAAAGAAAAAAAGGAAGATGATCTAGATAAACACAATCAGAAATGACAAAGGTGACATTACAACCAATGCCACAGAAATACAAAAGATCCGCAGAGATTGTCATGAATATTTCCATGCTTGCAAACAAGAAAATCTAGAGGACATGGATAAATTCCTGGAAACACACAATCTCCCAATACTGAATCAGGGAGTAATTGAAACCCTGAACAGTCCAAAATTGAGTTCAGAAATTGAATCAGTAATAAAAACTTACCAACCAAAAAAACCCCAGACTGGACCAGATGGATTCACAGTCAAATTCTACCAGATGTACAAAGAAGAGCTGGTACCAATTCTACTGAAACTATTCCCAAAAATCGAGAAGGAAGAACTGCTTCTTAACTCAGTCTAGGAAGCCAGCATCACCCTGATATCACAACCTGGCAAAGGCACTATGCAAAAAGAAAACCAAAGGCCAATATCCCTGATTAACATAGAAGCAAAATTCCTCAATCAAGTACTAGCAAACTAAATCCAGCAGCATCTCAAAATGTGAATTCACCGTAATCAAGTAGGCTTCATTCCCGGAATGCAAGGTTGGTTCAATACACACAAATCAATAAATCTGATCCACCACAGAAGCAGAATTAAAAAAAAACCATATGATTATGTTGATAGATGTGGAAAAAGCTTTTAATAAAATCTAACATCCCTTCCTGATAAAAATCCTCAACAAACTAGGCATCAAAGGAACATACCTCAAAATAATTAGAGTCATCTATGACAAACATGCAGTCAACATCATACTGAATGGGCAAAATTTGGAGGCATCCTCCTTGAAAACTGATATGTGAAAAGGAAGCCCACTGTCTCCACTCCTATTCAACATTCTAGTGAAAGTCCTAGCTAGAGGAATAAGGCCAGAGAAAGAGATAAAAGGCATATGAATAGGAAAATAAGAGGTCGAACTATCTCTTTTTGCTGACAATATAATTCTTTACCTAGAGAACTGTAATGACCCCACCAAAAGACTCCTAAATATGAAAAATGACTTAGTAAAGTTTCAATATACAAAATCAGTATAGAAATATTAGTAGCATTTCTGTATACCAATCATGTTCAAGCTGAGAGCCAAATCAATAATGTAATCCCATTTACAATAGTCATAAGAAAATAGAAATATATCTAACAAAGGAGGTGAAAGATCTCAACAAGGAGAACTATAAAACATTGCTAAAAGAAGTCATAGATGGTAGAAACAAATGGAAAAGCATTCCATGCTCACTGGTTGGAAGAATCAGTATTGTTAAAATGGTCACACTGCCCAAAGCAGTCTACCAATTCAATGCTATTTCTATCAAACTAACAATGTCATTTTTCACAGAACTAGAAAAACTATTATAAAATTCATATGGAACTCAGCAAGAAGCCAAATAGTCAAAGCAATCCTCAGAAAAAAGAGCAAAGCTGGTGGCATTATCTTACCCAACTTCAAACTGCAGTATAAGGCCACAGTAACCAAAAGAGCATGGTACTTATAAAAAAACAGAAACACAGACCAATGCAACAGAATAGAGAATCCAGAAGTAAAGCTGCACTTCTACAGCCATCTGCTCTTTGACAAAATCAACAAAAGTAAGCAATAGGAAAAGGACTCTTTATTCAATAAATAGTGTTGCAATAGCTGGCTATCCATATGCAGAAGAATGGAATAGGACCCCTACCTTTCAGCATATACAAAAATTAACTCAAGATGGATTAAAGGTTTAAATGTGAGACCTCTAGCTATAAGAATGCTGAAGAAAACCTAGAAAACACCATTCTGGACATCAGCCTTAGGAAATAATTTATGACTAAGTCCTCAAAAGCAGTTGCAATGAAAATTGACAATTGGGACCTAATTAAACTAAAGAGCTTCTATCAAGGGAGAGAAACTATCAAGGGAGTAAACAGACAACCTATAGAACAGAGAAAATATTCATATCCAACAGAGGTCTAATATCCAGAATCTATAAGAAACTTAAACAATTCAGAAACCAGAAAACAAATAATTCATTTAACAAGTGGGCAAGGGACATGAACAGACTATCTCTTGAAAGAAGACATGCATGAGCCCAAAAAAATATGAAAAAAATTCTCATCACTAATCATCAGAGAAATGCAAATCAAAACCACAATGAGATACTAACTTAATCAGTCAGAATGACAATTATTAAAAAGTTTAAAAACAACAGATGCTGGTGGGGATGTGGAGAAAAGGGAACACTGTTGGTAGGAATGTAAATTAGTTCAGCCACTGTGGAAAGCAGTTTGGAGATTGTTCCAATAACTTAAAAAAGAACTACCGTTTGACCCAGCAATCCCATTACTGGATATATATCCCAAGGAAAAGAAATCCTTGAACCAAAAAAAAAAAAAAAAATTCACATGCTCTTGCATGTTCACTTTAGCACTATTCACAATAGCAAAGATGTAGAATCAACCCAGTTGCCCATCAGTGGTGGATCAGATAAAGAGAATGTGGTACATATACACGTTGGAATACTACACAGCCATAAAGAATAAAATCATGTCCTTTGCAGCAACATGGATGCAGCTGGAGACCAATATTCTAAGTGAATTAATGCAGGAACATAAAACTAATACTTCATTTTCTCACTTATAAGTTGTGAATAAATATTGTGTACTTGTGTACTTAAAAATGGCAACAGACACTGGGAACTATGAGACAGGGGACAAAGGATCCTAGGCAAGAGTTGAAAAATGAACTATTCGGTACTATGTTCACTACATGGGTGACAGGATCAATTATACCCCAAACCTTAGCATCATGCAATATGTCCATGTAACAAACCTGCATGTGTACATCCTGAATCTAAAATAAAAGTGGAAATTATTTTAAAAAAATAAAAAATAGAAACAAAAGGGGGGACGTGATATTTATGGCGCAGTTGCTAAAAGATTTTCTATTTTTGATGAGCACTTCTGAGCTAGTGTAGAATGCTTTTTATTCTTATGCAAGTGACCAGTTGTCATCATAATTAACAGTAACTTCATTAGATTCCTGGCTGTACTGTAGAATTACTGTTAAAGAATAAGGGCCACTGAAGGTCAAAGCTGCAGTGAGCCATGATTGTGCCACTGCATTTCAACCTGTGTGACAGAGCGAGTCTGTCTCAAAAAAATAAAAAATAAAAAGAGAATAAGGGCTACAGGTCAACTTTTCCCAAACTTGCTATTTTTGTTATTTCTGTTTTGTTCATTTTTAAATAGAAATTAAAACTATGAGTATCTTACTTCAAATCTTTGTTCTGCAACTTAGTAATTATATGACTTTGGACAAATCATTTTTTCTCTTGGAATGTATTTTTCAATTTTTAAAGTGAGAATAGTAATTAATGATATATGTATAGTAGGCATTTCAGCAATGGTAAATTTTACTATTAAAATCTTTATCTATTTAAAATTTATATAGAAATAAAGTGAAGGAAACTTTTGTATAACCAAACATTTTCATATGCTCTCATTGTTGTCTTAAATTATTTTTTATTATATTTTAACAAAGTATATGCAAACATGCTTACAATTGTAAAAAATCAAACAGAGCTTCACATCAATACAAATAAAAATATGTAGTTAAAATTATTCAAAATATTTCAATGTGACAGATGATATGTTATTTTGCTGAACTAAATCTATGTGGGTTTAATTATTAAAGAATACTTATAGGCATTTGTTTTATTTTTTGTTAACTTGTATACTTACAATGTTAGGCCTGTTGGATGGACCATTCCTTTACATCATAACCGTCACTGCAGCCATTTAAAAAAAAATTTGAACAACAATCCATTGTGTAATAGGCCAATTCTTGTTGCAATCCACCCAAAAATTAACACCAATAAATATTTTTAAAATATAATTTAATAGAAAATTCTTTATTATTTATTACTGATTAGTCCTTATGAACTGCTGCAGGTCGTACTGTATAAAGATACATCTACACAGAATACTCATGAGAACATGAATAGTATCTACCACTATGCATGGATTTTTTTGAATCTCATATGCTCATACTATTACGTACCTTGTGATCATTTAATTATTCAACCAGAATTCTCTATTTGAACAATTATAAAATCTTTGTAAGTTTGTACCATTTGCTCTGATGTCATTTACTGTTCATTTGGTACAAAATTTCATTTATATATTAGGTCAGCTTCTGTTCTTTTCTCATTAGCCTGTGACAATTAATGTAGAACATTATTCTACCACATTTTCATTTCCATGATATAAAAACATTCTAAATTTATTAAATGAAGTATGAAGCTAAAATCCTAGTCTGTGAAAATACCTTTCAATTGTAGTTGATCACTGTAAAAGAGAAGTTTTGTCTTTATAATTAGCAAAAGAATCCAACAAGAGTACAATAACAGACACATGATGACGCCTGTCTCATTAACATCAGGACATGATCACCTAACGCCAGCCAAACATGCTCTGACTGGGATGTGATCATTTGGTACCAACATGACTAAATTCACATGTAAGCGGGATGCAGTGGATCATGCCTATAATCCCAGTATTTCGGGAGGCCGAGGCAGGCGGATCACATGAGGTCAGGAGTTTGAGGCCAGCCTGGCCAACATGGCGAAACCCCATCTATACTAAAAGTACAAAAATTAACTGGGCATGGTGGTGTGTGCCTGTAATCCCAGCTACTAGGGAGGCTGAGGCAGGGAGAATTGTTTGAACCTGGGAGGCAGAGGTTGCGGTGAGCTGAGTTCGTGCCACTGCACTCCAGCCTGGGAGACAGAGTGAGACTGTCTCTCAAAAAATAAAAATAAATAAAAATGAAAATAAATAAATAAATAAATTCACATATAAACCTGAACAGTTAAATCTTGTGGCAGTACTAGGTTATAAGATGCGATCCTGGATGATTCAGAATATGTTCTGTCCTTTCATATTTTAAAATTATAACCAATCTGAAAACATAAAATTAAAGACAGAAAATATGTTATTGTGGATTGCATTGACTTTTCATAATGCTGCTACAGACCCTGATAGGTAAGTAGACATAGCAAATTAACACATTCAATACCAAGAGGTAATAATTGAATAAGTTTGTAATGTTGAGCCTTTCATATTCTATGAGTGATTTTCTTTTGTGATCTTTATTTTACTATGTAAAGTATAATAATTGTATTATGACTGAGATGGGCATTGGTTATGTCAGGGGCATTTGAACCAGAGCAACTCCATCTTGGATAGGAGCTGGGTTAAATGAGGCTGAAACCTACTGGGCTGCATTCCTAGACAGTTAAGCATTCTAAGTCACAGGATGAAATAGGAGGTTGGCACAAGATACAGGTCATAAAGCCCTTGCTGATAAAACAGTTTGCAATAAAAACGCTGGCTAAAAACCACCAAAACCAAGGTGGTAACAAGAGTGACCTTTGGTCATCCTCATTGCTGCACTCTCACCAGCACCATGATAGTTTACAAATGCTGTGACAACAGTAAAGAAGAGTGGCACACTCATCAGGGAACTCAAATATGAACTCTCTCCCTCTCTGGACATATCAGGAGTTCAGGTGAGGAAAGTAAGATCAATGGAGGAATTCTCGAGGGACTACAGTCTTTCCATTCCTAACTGTTCTCAACCCTTTTATGTCTCACCATATGTGAAATATGGAATTTGCCTACAGATTTGCATGAGTAAATGCAGATTTTGATGAATTCAAGAAAGAAAGAAAACACAACTATTACTGTAAGATTAAACATTGTAGTAATAATACATGATTATCAATAACTATAAATGGTGCACAAAATGGTAGGTAGTATTATGCCCCTTTTTCAGAGGAGAAAACTCAAGCTCAGAGAGGCTAAATAACAAATACTGAAAGGTAGATGCCTCATTTAGTCTGCCATGTGCTTATGCTCTGGTTTCTCAGCCCATTTTAGGGAGCAATTGCATAGTCTTATATAAAGGGATTGATTGAAGAAGGGGTCATCACTGTTGCAGAACAGGAATTGTATAAGAAATGTGGCAGAGTCATGCCTCTTGCAGAGACAGGCATGAATTTGACTGCCTCTCACTTATCATTCTAGACCCTGAAGGGGGAAAATCTGGATACAAATTCAGACTAAGAACATATTCATGCAAGGGACAGCTGAAATTTTTTTATCTGGTTTTAGTTTTTCTAAAGTTGATAATAACTTTAGGATGACAACGAGAAAACATGTTAGAAAAAATGCAAACACATGCAAAAAATGACAAGATAGTTGGATCATTATTTTTTAAAAATCTGCGGTTAATAAAAACAGTTGACATATAAACACATTTTGGATACAAATGGGATTCAAGAAAAGCCACTGGAGGGGGCTGCTTGTTATTATTAACTCCATGTGGAATACACTTCCCTCCTTTTTTACAACCTAGTTTAACTACTGTCAAAGGCATTGTTCTACTCATTTATATACACTACTTCATTTAACTCTCATGACAACCTTATGAGTAAATAGGGTCATTATCTTCTTTGTTCAAGTAGGGAGACTGAGGCACTGAAAATGTCTGTAAATTGCTCAAGGTCATACATAAATTAATGGGTGGATGTGGAGTTCAAACCCAGACAACTGGCCCAGAATATATTTTATCACCACTACCCTCTGCTGCCTCCTTTCCTCTTCACTGGTTTCTTGGCAGTCCTCACTTCTCATTCATTATGGGGTTGGGCTTGGGCAAACCAATCACTGCAATAGTGAGAGAAAAGAAGAAGGACCAATCCTTTTTCCCATGCTCACATCTTCTAATGGAAAAGCGTGGAGGTTATAAATCCACAGGTATTAGCCCATCTCCTCACAGCATCCAATCTCAGAGGTCCTCTATCAAAACAAAGAGGTCTTCCCAACGCCTTTGATAAAACTCCATAGGAAAGCCAGAAACCATGTGCTCTGAAACATAACAAGAAAACAAAGAAAACAATGATAGCAACGAGAAAAAAAACACCAAGTGTTTACCAAGTTACTCTATGGTAATCACTAGGATAAGTCCATTGCAAAGACCAATTCATTCATCCTCTCAACAATGCTTTGAGATAGGTATTATTACTTTTATTGTAACAATAAAGAAAGGGCATAAACTTGTGAACATGGCAGTCCTACTGTAGAATCCCTCATTGTGGCAACTACGTGGGAAATATTGTGAAAATTTACACTGGAAATCTAGATATAAATATGTAACCTTAGGGATTAGAATATTTATTAGAATAACTTAAAAGACACAATCTAAGCCACTGATATTTTGTCCTCGTATGTATTGCAAATTTATGGATTAAATAATTGTGAAATGACAGAATGATACCCATAGAGCCCGGGGATGGAGGGCATGGCAAAGAATCCGTTTTTTCCTGGTGTGATCTTTATGCCAGAGGACAGGAAAAGGTATAAACTCAGTCAACCTTAGCATTGCAGTGTGCTGGCTTCAGGAATGGAGCATGAAGAGGAAGCCCTGGGCCTCTCTTCTGTCCCACAATGTTTCTGGTCAAAGGGAAATATGAAGCAACAAGTCATGATTGCAGAAAGGAGAGATGGTGGCTCAGCCCCAGGGCTAGCAAGTGTGAAGAAAGTAGGAACTTCTCCCTAGGGCTCACCTGGTGGAAGTCTCAGGCTCTCACGATAACTTTTAATGTCAACTGCATGGTTTCTCCTCTCTGTAGGATGCCCTCTTGGCTCTTGCAATCCCCATCCCTCTGGAACCCCTTCCCCAGAACACAGGATTCCACTTGAATGCTGTCCTGATTCACTGCAGTGGTTGGAGACTAGTGTTTTGATTTGTGTCCTAGACATCCCAGAACACATTTTATTTTAACTATAGAGACATCAGGGTACCTGGTACTGCACACCAGGTATCTACAGTCACACTTTTTCAATGGGCATAAACTCTTAACCTCATTACACAAAGCCTCTCTGCCACATGAAAACCTGGGTCCACTATTCTAAGTAACTTCCTTCAGGAGAACATTTGGAAGACAACCTGTTCATGGTTTGGGGGCTCTAAGCCCAGTAACTATCACTGCATTCTTCATGTCATGTGTTCTGTTCTATTATCACCAGAGCATAGCAATGTTTAGTCTCTCTCACTACACCAAAGAAAACTCAGAACAGTGCTCTTGTCCTTAGCTTCTGACATCAGTGTTAGCAGGGGTCTCTACAAAGAAAAACATGAGCTGCATTCCACATTCCTAGTTTCTTTTTCCCTCCCTTTGACAGTTGCAAAACAATCAGATAAATAAAACAAAGTGTACAATAAGTATTTGATGCTGAGAATAAAGTTTGCCATAGTTTTTTATTATATATTCACTATCTGAAACTGGAATTGGCTTCTCTAAACAACAGCTGTGATGGAGGAGGCAGCTGTTTTAGAAGAGAAATGGCTTTGGATTAGGAGGCTGTGCACCTAAGGCTGAGTCCCAGATCTGCCCTCCCCAGATATTGGAATCTTCTGGTGGTTGGTTTTACCATCTGTAAAATGGGGATAATGCTGTCTCTCAGGATTAAAATTCTATATCTGTATCTATTTGGATAATTATGTTTGTATCTATCAAACAATACTTTGTAAACTACTGAGTGAATAACAGTTCTTAAAATTGTAAGGTAAAGTTGGAGAGTTATAAACACTAATGGATTGGGTCAAATGAAACTATTTTAATTAAAAGATATAGATGTGTTTGGCACTTCTTCTGTTTTATATCTTATACACATATACATACATACATACGTACAACCTCTCCCTCTCTTTCTCCCCTCTCCCCCGTCACACTTCAGAATATTTAATTAAATGAAGACCCATAACTGCAAATAAAGCTTTGCAAAGCTTTAGGCACAGGTTTGGAGAAAATACAAATTGTTGGTAATACCGTAAAAAGCCACATAGCAATAAAATTGCCTCAAGAGAATACCAAGAAAACGCCTGCTCCTTAAAAATCCCACCAGCATGCAGGGTTCAGTTTGAGGGATCTCCTTTCAGAACAAGTGAACAGAACAGCAATGAGAAGAACTCCATGCAAGAGAAGCAAGATGATTAAGCCCATAGAAGAATCCAGTTATTTGGGTGGATTAAAGAAAAATGGACAATTCATTGAAGCTACTGCCAAGATGGGAAATAATTACTGTCTGCAAACATTTCAAAGGAAGAAAAGCAAAGGAAGGAGAGAAATTGTTTAACTTGATCCAGAAGATGATGCATTATAATAGGAAGGAATGAGAGAAAAGGAAATTTTGGAAAATGATTTTTGGTGATTAGAGAGCTCGTATGAAGAGTTTCTGAAGAACACCAAAAATGTAAATAGGAGTGGGGTGCGGGGTTCTGCAGAGCAGTGACATACGAAAATCCATTTAAAAGCCTTCATCAAAAAGTCTCCTCCCCTAATGCATGAGAGAGCCCTCTTTATCTCAAAAACTTTATTGCACATAATGGTCAGCAACTTGATAATTCTTACACTTGTTTGTAAAATTATGCATGTAATATGAAGCCAATTTTCCATGAAGAAAAGTGGTTGAGAATTTTGAAACCTTATACTTGCCAATGGAGATCCAAAATATGATAGCTGAGAGTCATCATCTTCTCATGTACAGAAAATATTTAGTTATTCATTTAACAAATATTTGTTGAGCACCTAATAGGAACCAGGCATAGTGCTAGGGACTTCATTTGTGCCCTGAAATACAGCGCTCTGAATTTTTCTACTATTTGCCCTAATTAAATCCTGTCTTTGGCCTTTTTTCTTATTTATCTATTATCTAAAAATAATAATAAGCTCTGTGAGGGTAGCGATAGGGAAAAATAGGACTTCTCCCTCACAGCAGCCAGCCCCTTGTACTAACTGTTTAGTTGAATACTAAATGTATCTTGCCTCTGCCCAGCATGATGCCCAGATGAGGGCTGGTGGCAAAATATATGATTTCTACAGGGAAATGAATCTTAGCACTCCATAATACCATAAATCCCCAGTTTTCTCTTAGACTCACGAACATGTCATGAAATACTGTTCATTTTAAAATGTAAATGCATTATTTTCTAGGATACTCAAATTCTAAAGGAGCAACTAGTGTCAAAGTCAAATATGTATGATTGAGACAATCCTAGGCCCTTTCAGGTATACACATATCTAATAATGAAAGACAGTCATTAGCCAGGCTGACATCAAGAGCACCAAACACTGATGACATTCTAAGTAAGGACAGAAAATGGTGATGGATTTCTCTTGTCCTCCTTCCCTTATTTTATGTGCATAAGACTGCTTTATTTCTAACAGTTGATCAACTATAAGCATCTATAATATGGTAAATACCAGAAAAGAGACACCATTAATTCTGCCTTTTAGTCTAGAAAAGACCCGCTAAAGAGAAGTTATTTTATTAGTACTCCCCACTCTATGCCAAATATCCACGCATGTTCTCTACAGTGTGTGCTTTAAATTACTTACTGAAATGGATATTTGTCTTTACAAAGAAATAATGGGTTCCTCGTGTCTCTCAGTAACAAGAAAAATGTCCATCCTTCCTGGGGTAAGATGAAAAAGCTAATCAGCATTGCGGTCTCTGGGAGTCTGCAGATGCATACTCCCTCCAAACCACAGCGGATTTGGGTTACCTGGTGATATTTGACCTGCCCCTTTGGCTCTTCTTGTATATTTGTCTCACACTTTGTTCAACTTTGTTTTTAAGTGACTTTGACAGCTCCTAACTAAGGAACAGTATGCTCTGGCTAGCTGTTTGGGCCAAGGGTTTTAATGATTTAAAAATAATTTTGTATTCACTATGGTTTTACTGTTGAAATGTCTGCAGATGGGAGGAGGTCCAAATGAAGAGTAAAGGGCAGTCTATTGTGGAGGTGGGGCCAATTTTTGCAGAGAGCAAAAGTAGTCTTCCCTGAAGTGAACTTAACATAGTCAGCCACCTACCTTCTAATTAAAGGGAGGCAACCTTTGGGTTGTGGTTATGCATTTACATATATTTGAAAAGTGAATTTTTCAGGGGAAGCAGAGTCATGTCAAATTCTTTTCAATCCCTAAGTGTTACTGTCATACTTGGCACATAGTAGGGATTTAAAAATTGGTAAATCAAATTGTATTTCTCACTACACTGTGAGCAACTTGAGGTCAAAACTGTGACAGGACCTGGTGTCCTGAGCGTTGCTGTAGGTCTTCAACCAAAACTTGCTGAGTGATCAAGAGACAGACTGTTTCTCATTCTACTCTATGCCAAGCCATCAGAGAAGTAGTAAACAGAGTTAACAAGAGATGAAAAGAAGGATTGCTGAGCCACAGTGAGGGGTTAGAGAACACGAATTTGTGGCAAAGCCAATCAGCATGTTTTCAAAAGTATCTCTAACAAAACTTGGCAGCCTGGGAGACAGAGAGAAAGTGAGAGAGAGCAAGGAATAAAACAAAACAAAATGTAACAACAAAAAAAGAGATGGTGGTGGAGTTCCTGGGGTAGGGGGCTTTGGGTGGTGGATGGAGCCACAATCTCCCTATCCCTTCTCTCATTTATCCTTCGGGTGTCCTGGATGGTGAGCTGGACTTTCTTAGAATAATTCTAAGAATGCAAGGGACACTTCAGAGTTAAATGAACTCAAAGAAACTGTTCAAAAGTGGCCATAAGTTTTGCCATAACTATTGGTCTGAAATAGACATTTACCTGTAATTTACTTTAGATTTGAGAATTTCTATCTCCCCACATCTCCCCATTTCTCTCTTCAACTTTCTCAGATGCAAGGTCAGCACATAATTTTATAATTAAAACCAAGACTGTTTTGAGAGGGGTGAAAGGAAGCCATGAATGATTACACTCAGGGCTGCTTTATGGTTTCGGTAGGCTCCTGGGCATTTGGGTCTCCATGGGCTCCTTTTTCTGCGTGGCAGGGAGGAATTACAATTCTATTTTATGACTGTGTAGGTATAATGACGATGTAATCCAGGCTTGATTCAATTTAACATATTTATTTGTATTACATTTATTTTTTTTCTGATTTTAAAAGAAAAAACACTTTTGTGGACTCCTAAAATTATAATGTACCCTAAGCCTTGTGCCTACTGTGCCTCCTTTTCAGGAGGTAATGAATTACCTAAACTATTATATTAATCATATTGGAGTAGGGAAAAAATAACATGTGGGGGGCATCAGGGAAGTGGGTTCAACTGTCTAAGGCAGAGACTGGTTGTGGAATGTGGTGGGTGAAAGGCAAAGGCAGATTTCAGAAGAATTTGCTGGAAATCCCTGGAAGTTGTGGTGGGTAGAGGAGGGAGGCTTGCTGATGGCCAAGGCTGTTCTTCTCTCTCTGCAGTAAGTCTTCCTTAGAGTAAGACAGTGGTTCGGGCTTGTAGCTTCCTTGGGAAGAACATCCAGCTAAAACAGCGAGCTGGTGAGGGAGCTGTGCCTGGGTGGCAGTGACATTAGGTGATCATGGGGCTTCTTTGTTTCTCCATAATGAAAGGTGGTGACCTTAGCATGGAGTTCTTGTCTGAGATACATCTGTAGCAAGAATTTCTTTGCTACCCACTTAACATCCACAATCTCCTATAGTTAGGTCACTCCTATTTTTAACTCTTTTTGTATGGGAATGCAGCTTATCTCTCTAACTTGATTGTAAGCTTCTGCGAAGCTCTGTGTCTTAGAGGTTCACAGTTATTAGCTCTATAAATAATCTGAGTTCAAGTCTTTAACTTTCTTTCTTTTTTAAAATGTTAAATTGACAAAGAATAATTATGTATATTTTGGGGGTACAATATGATGTGTTGATCTATATACACATTATGAAATGATTAAATCAAGCTCATTAACATATTTATTATCTTACATGCTTTTTTTTATATTATAGACATTTAAAATATATTCTCACCCAATTTTGAAATGTACATTACATTATTATTATAGTCACCATGTCATGCAATAGATCTCGAAAAATTTATTTCTCCTAACTGAAACTCTGTATTATTTCACTAACATCCCCCCATTTTCCCCACACCCCAGCCCCTAGTAACTACCGTTCTACTCTCTAGTCCTATGAGTTTGCCTTTTTTTAGATTCCACATATAAGTGAGATCCCTTTTTCTAGGAAATCTAACTTACTTAGTGGCAGAGCCATGCTTTGAGCTCAGATTTATTAGATCCCAGGTAAATGTTCTTTGTTCTGAAATTTTTGAGACTCTTTGTTATGAAATTTTGTGTTCTCTGTCTTTTAAAGGTCTCTTCAGAGCCTTGAAACTATCACCTAACCACTAACTTCATCTTCCATGAAGTTCTACTGCTGTTATTGTATTATATTTTTTCTCCCTTAATTCATCTATCAGCTCAATAATTTGAGAATCTTTCTTAATGTCTAAACTCACACCTTTTACAAAATTTTCTTAGTACCTTCAACTCATATATCATTGATATTAATGCTCTTCAACCAACCCTCTACTTCTACTACTTTGGACCCCCTTCTCTTAAGACTGACCTAACTTCAATAATCCCCATTGAAGAGCTCCTCTCTCCTATGACAACCACTTTACCTTCCAGCTGTTCTATTTCTTTCCTTCTACTGCATCTAATTTTTGTCCTTATCACAGCTCCTGTCCCCAACTTTGCCTCAATTATTCCAGTTCTTCACTCTACCAGTTTTATGAGCCTCCTCCAGGCCCAAGACTCTTCCATGTGCTCTAATACACTAGAATCACCCTTTATAGTGGCCTTAAATCATGCCAAATCCCAAAAGTGAGTTACTCAACCACCATTTGTAGGGTACACATTCACTACTAAGCAACCAAGCTTGGCTTAATGGATTTATCAGAAAGTTACCATGAGTCGGATAAGCTCATGTTCCCTTACCTCACTTTTAGACATCTTATTCCTCAGGATCTTAAGTATCTTACTCCTCTCTGAATGGTATATCTTTTTCTCTCAAGAAAAAAAATGTTCTAACATTTTTTTCTACATTTGTGATGCCTCATTCTCAACCACGCCATCCTTACTCCAAACAGATGACCTTCCTTCCAACTTTACTGAAAAAGCAGAGGCCATCTGGTAAAACCTCCATAATCTTTCCTCTTCTCCATCTGTCACCATGCTTCACTTTCTGAGACTTTCTCTGGTATCTTTATCTTTCCTTCTCTTTTCTCCTGTTTCCATCTTTAAAAAAAAAAACTTAGGTTTTTAAGACTAATAGTTAATATGTATCAAGCACTAAATTAGATTGGGTGTGCATTGTATATCTAGATCTCTTAGTAACATTTAGAAATTCATCACTAATGCATCGTATCTGGAAACCAAGAATTACAGAGTTAGCCCCCAAGGCTAACTCATCGTGGCCCCAAGGCCACACCCCCAAGGCCACCACCTCATGGTCCCTACTGTCTGGTATCTCTAGGAGCTGTAGAATACACCTCTTCTTCCTTTAGCAGCTTCAATATTTTTTCCAATTGTTTCGGCCTACACAAACATATGCAAAAGCATCTAATTTTCCAAACAAAATTGCTTTCATCTTGATTTTTGCAATCAACATGCTATCTCCTTATTATTTCCTTTGCCATTAAATACATTGAAAAAAATGCCCACTCATTGCTCCCATTTACTAACATTTGTAAACCACAGAAAATTATCTCTCATCTCCAAATTCTGATGGTGAAGTTAAAATGAAATTTTCTGAGTCTTCTTTAGTCTTGCCCTCTATGTAGTATTTTAAACTATCTTTAATGACCCCTGCCTCTTTGGTATACTCTTCTCTCTTGGTTTCTCTAGGCTGGCAATATCCAACATTTTTCCTCCTTTTAATGGTCCTTCTCTGATTCTTTGCTGTTTTCCGACTCTAAAAAAGTGATAAATCATTCCTCAAAGCGCTACTCTTATCCTCTTTACCTCACTGTATTCCCTCTCCTTAAGATATCACTTATACTCTTTTCTTCAGCAGCAATTTCTAGGCTAATAAGCTCCCAAACAATAACTCCTTCACCTTCTTTTCATGAAACAGAGCCCTGAATTTGCAAATAATATCAACAAAATATTTGCAACTGGTTCTAACACTGGTATCACAATATAAATTTAAAATTGATTATAAAATAGAATGTACTGGGCTTTCTCCCCAAATCTGCCTCTCTTTTTGTCTTTCCTCTTTCTGTCCTTTTACTTCTTCCTCAAGAAGCCATGAAACCACCTTTGAATTTCCTCTTCTTCATCTGTCACAACTAAATTGTGGCCATCTCTTTGATCTCTAGAATTCAAGTTATCTAACCTAACATCTTAAACTTCATTTGTACTCCTCTTGTAAGATTGTCATTTATCATCTTCTCCTATACGTGTCTTTTGAGGAGGATGAGTCGAAGTTTATTTTATTCCAGAAAAAAATTATCTTTCTAAACACCTTCACTTAGATATAATTCACATATTATATACTTCACACATTTAAAACGTACAATCCAATAGTTTTTAGTATGTTTACAAAGTTGTGCCACCATCATCACAATCAACTTTAGAACATTTTCATCATTCAATAAAGAAACACCAGAACCATTACTATTTATTTCCTGTTTCTCTCCCCCACCTTCTAGCCTCTCCCTCCCACCCACTAGCCCCAGGCAACCAATTGTCTAGTTGTTGTTTCTATATGTTTGACTATTCTGGACATTTTTAACTCTTCCTATGTAAATGTAATTGTATATCCTTTGACCAACATCTCCCCATCCTCCCTACCTTCTCAAGTCTGTGATAAATACCACTCCGCTGTCTTCTATGAGATCAGCTTTTTTAGATTTCACATATGAGAGATATCGTGTTGTATTTGGCCTTTCTGTGCCTGGCTTATTTCACTTAACATAATGTTCTCTAAGTTCATCCATGTTGTCACAAATGATAGGATTTCATCATTTTTTCAGAGTGAAGAGTATTCCATTGTGTATGTGTGGCACGTTTTCTTTATTCTCTTGTTGATAGTTACTTGGGTTGATTCCATGTCTTGATTATCATGAATAGTGCTGTGATAAACATGAATGCAAATGTTTCTTTAACATCCGGATTTCAGGTTCTTTGGATATATACCCTTTAGTGGGATTGCTGAATCATATGGTAGTTCTGTTTTTAATATTTTGAGGAAGCTCCATACTGTTTTCTATAGTGGTTGTACCAATTTACATTCCCACCAAAAGTGTATAAGGGATTCCTTTTCTCCACGTTTTCACTGACACTTGTTATCTTTGACTTTTTGATAGTAGCCATTCTAGCAAGTGTGAAGTGATAATTCATTGTGGTTTTGATTTGCATTTCTCTTATATAAGTAATGTTGAACATTTTTTATATACCTGTTAGCTGGTATGTCTTCTGTTAAGAAGTATCTATTCAAGTCTTTTACCCATTTTTAAATGGGTTTATTTGTTTTCTTGCTGTTGAGTTATGAGTTCCTTATATATTTTAAATATTAATCCCTTGTTATACAGGTAGTTTGCAAATATTTTCTTCCATTTTGTAGGTTGTCTTCTCCCTCTGCTGACTGTTTCTTTGCTGTGCAGAAGCTTTTCAGTTTGATGTAATCTTATTTGTTGAATTTTGCTTTTGTTACCTGTGATTTTGAGGTCTTATCCAACAATTCTTGCCCATGCCAACATCACGAAGCAGTTCCCCTATGCTTTCTTCTAGTAGTTTCGTAGATTTGGATCTTACATTTAAATGCTTAATTCATTTTGAGTTGATTTTTGCATGTGATGAGAGTAAAGGTTTAATTTCTTTTGTATATGAATATTCAGTATTACCACATCATTTATGTAAAAGACTGTCTTTCTCTCAATATGTGTTTTGGCATCTTTGCTAATATCAGTTGATTATAAATTCCTGGATTTCTTTCTAGGCTCTCAATTCTGTTCCATTGGTCTGTTTATTTTTGTGTCAAATTATGGTGTTTTGGTTATGATAGCTTTATGGTATATTTTCAAATAAGATAGTGTGAGGCCTCCAGTTTTGTTCCTTTTGCTCAATATTGCTTTGGCTATTTGAGGTTTTTGTGGTTCCATACAAATATTAGAATTGGTCTTTCTATTTCTGTGAAGAATGTCTTTGATATTATGATAAGGATGGCATTGAATCTGTAGATCACTTTGGCAAGTGTGAACATTTTAACACTATTAATGCTTTATTATTTATTTATTTATTTATTTTTACTTTAAGTACTAGCATACATGTGCAGAGTATGCAGGTTTGTTACATAGGTAAACATGTGCTATGGTGGTTTGCTGAATCTATCAACCTGTCATCTAGGTTTTAAGACCCCATGCATTAGGTGTTGGTCCTAATGTTCTCCCTCCCCTTGCCTCCCAGCCCCCAACAGGCCCCAGTGTGTGTTGTTCCCCTCCCTGTGTCCATGTGTTCTCATTGTTCAACTCCCACTTATGAGTGATAACATGTGGTGTTTGGTTTTCTATTTCTGTGTTAGTTTGCTGTAGATGATGGCATCCAGCTTCACTCATGTCCCTGCAAAGGACATGATCTCATTCCGTTTTATGGCTGCATAGTATTCCATAGTGTATATGTACCACATTTTCTTTATCCAGTCCATCATTGATGGGCATTTGGGTTGGTTCCAAGTCTTTGCTATTGTAAATTGTGCTGCAATAAACATACATGTACATGTGGCTTTATAGTACAATGATTTATATTCCTTTAGATATATGCTCAGTAATGGGATTGCCAGGTCAAATGATATTTTTGATTCTAGATCCTTGAGGAATCACCACACTGTCTTCCACAATGGTTGAATTCACAATCCCACCAACAGTGAAAAAGCATTCCTATTTCTCCACAGCCTCGCCAGCATCTATTGTTTCCTGACTTTTTAATAATTGCCATTCTCACTGGCGTGAGATGGTATATCATTGTGTTTTTGATTTGCATTTCTCTAACGATCAGTGATGATATTTTTTTCATATGTTTGTTGGCCTCATAAATGTCTTCTTTTGAGAAGTGTCTCTTCATATCCTTTGCGCACTTTTTGATGGGGTTGTTGGTTTTTTCCTGTAAATTTGTTTAAGTTCCTTGTAGATTCTGGACATGAGCCCTTTGTCAGATGGGTAGATTGCAAAATTTTTCTTCCATTCTGTAGGTTGCCTGTTCATTCTGATGTAGTTTCTTTTGCTGAGCAGAAGCTCTTTAGTTTAATTAGATCCCATTTGTCAATTTTGGCTTTTATTGTAATTGCTTTTAGTGTTTTAGTCATGAGGTCTTTGTCCATGCCTATGTTCTGAATGGTATTGTCTAGGTTTTCTTCTAGGGTTTTTATGGTTTCAGGTCTAACATTTAAGTCTTTAATCCCTCTTGAATTAATTTTTGTATAAGGTGTAAGGAAGGGGTCCAGTTTCAGTTTTCTGCATATGGTTAGCCAGTTTTCCCAACACCATTTATTAAATAGGGAATCCTTCCCTCATTTCTTGTTTTTGTCAGGTTTGTCAAAGATCAGTTGGTTATAGATGTGTAGTGTTATTTCTGAGGTCTCTGTTATGTTCCATTTGTCTATAGGTCTGTTTTGTTCCACTACCATGCTGTTTTGGTTACTGTAGCCTTGTAGTATAGGTTGAAGTCAGGTAGCATGATGCCTCCAGCTTTGTTCTTTTTGCTTAGGATTGTCTTGGGTATATGGGCTCTTTTTTGGTTTTGTATGAAATCCTAGGCCAGGTGTGGTGGCTCATGCGTGTAATCCCAGCACTTTGGGTGGCCGAGGCAGGCAGGTCACTTGAAGTCAGGAGTTCAAGACCTGCCCGGCCAACATGGCGAAACCCTGTCTCTACTGAAAATGCAAAAAAAGAATTAGCCAGGTGTGGTAGCATGCACTTCTAATCCCAGCTACTTGGGAGGCTGAGACTGGAGAATCACTTGAACCCAGGAGGCGGAGGTTGCAGTGAGCTGAGATTGCGCCACTGCACTCCAGCCTGGGGTGACAGAGCGAGACTCCATCTCAAAAAAAAAAAAAAAAAAAGAAAAGAGAAAAGAAAAAAAAAAAAGAAATCCTATAGCCATTATCATACTGAATGCACAAAAGCTGGAAGCATTCCCTTTGAAAACTGGTGCAAGACAAGGATGCCCTTTCTCACCACTCCTATTCAACATAGTATTTGCAAGTTCTGGCCAGGGCAATCAGGCAAGAGAAAGAAATAAAGGGTATATAAATAGGAAGAGAGGAATTCAAATTGTCTCTCTTTGTAGATGACATGATTGTATATTTAGAAAACCCCATCTTCTCAGCCCCAATTCTCTTTAAGTGGATAAGCAACTTCAGCCAAGCCTCAGGATACAAAATCAATGTGCAAAAATCACAAGCATTCCTATACATCAACAATAAACAAACAGAGAGCCAAATCATGAGTGAACTCCCATTCACAATTGCTACAAGGAGAATAAAATACCTAGAAATACAGCCTACAAGGGACGTAAAGGACCTCTTCAAGGAGAACTACAAACCACTGCTCAAGGAAATAAGTGAGGACACAAACAAATGGAAAAATATTCCATGCTCATGGATAGGAAGAATCAATATCATTAAAATGGCTATAGTGCTCAAAGTAATTTATAGATTCAATGCTATTCCCATCAAACTACCATTGACTTTCTTCACAGAATTAGAAAAAACACTATTAATTCTTCTAATTCATAAGTATGAGATATCTGTCCATTTATTTGTATCTTCTTCAATTTCATTTTGTAAGTGTTTTATAGTTTTCATGGTAGAGATCTTCTACTTCCTTGGTTAGATGTATTCCTAGGAATTTTTTGTAGTTATTGTAAATGCAATTTTTTTGTATTTCCTTTTCAGACAGTTTGCTATTAGCATATAAAACTACTACTGATTTTTGTATGTTAATTTTATATCCTGCAATTTTACTGAAATCATTGATTAGTTCTAACAGATTATTTTTTGGTATAGTCTTTAGGGTTTTGTATGTATAAGATCATCTTCTCTTCAAACAGGGATAATCTATTCATTCTTTCTGAATTCGATGTTTTTTGTTTCTTTCTCTTGCTTAATTGCTTTGGCTAGGACCTCCAGAACTATGTGAAATAGAAGTGGTAAATGTAAGCCTCCTTGTATTGTTCCACATCTTGAAGTAAAAGCTTTCAACTTCACATTCAGTATTATGTTAGCTGTGGGTTTGTCATATATGGCCTTGATTATATTGAGGTACATTCCTTCTAAACTAATTTGTTGAGAGTTTTTATCATAAAGCGATGTTGAATTTCATCAAATGCTTCTTCTACATCTACTGAAATGATCATATAGTTTTTGTCTTTCACTCTGTTAGTGTAATGGATCATTTTTATTGATTTCCATGTGTGAAACATCCTTGCATTCCTATGATGAATTCCACTTGATCATGGTGGATGATCTTTTAAATGTGCTGCTGAATTTAGTTTGCTAGTGTTTCCTGAATTTTTTTGCATCTGTGTTCATCAAGGATATTGGCCAGGTGTTTTCTTTTTTGTGTGTCCTGGTCAGGTTTTGGTATCAGGGTAATGCTGGCCTCATTGAATGAGTTTGGAAAAATTCCTTCCTCTTAAATATTTTGGGATAGTTTGAGAAGAATTGGTATTAATTCTTTAAATGTTTGATAGAATTCAGCAGTGAAGCCATCAGGTCTTGTATGTTACTTCCGTGGGAGACTTTTTATTACTTATTTAATCTCCTTACTCATTATTGGTCTGTTGAGATTTTCTATTTTTAATAATTCCATATTGGTAGATTGTATGTGGCCAGGAATGTATCTATTTCTGCTAGATTTTCTAACTTGTTAGTATGTAATTATTTAGAATAGTGTCTCTCTCATGATCCTTTGTATTTCTCTAGTGTCAGTTGTACTGTCTCCTTTTTCAGCTTTGATTTTATTTATTTGGGATTTCTTACTTTTTTCTCAGTTAATCCAGCTAAATGTTTGTCTTCTCCTGTACTTCTAATGGTAGAAAGTTCATTCCTCTATGAAGCAGTCTGTTTCATTTGTGGACAAGTATGTCTATTATACGTCGCTCTTCACGCACTGATCATCCTTGCGCAAAATGAAAATAAGTCTTCATCTATCAGACCTTTGGGCAACCACAAAACCTTCTCATTTTCAACTTTTTCAAATGTTTTTCCTAAAATGTGTTTTCTGAATATTTGGCCATTCTGATTGCCTTCCCCTAAATAAGCTGTAATTTATCCAAGTTCAAGTGCCTCTCAGGTTTTCAATTTAAATAAAGGACTTCATGTTTACAACTAGGTTGTGTTTTCGTTTTCATCTCTCATTGTTCTATCTTCAGTATTTCTAATTTTTGAATTCTTTTATTCCTTCATAGCATTATTCTCTCCAACTTTTTACTATTTTCAAAGGAGTAAATTCTACTGGTATTTCTTCATAAAACTGTGTATGAATGATTTATAAAAATGTAGAGCAATCCAGACTCTTGCATAATACCACTAGAAACCACCAGACAAAATGATGATTCTCATTAGGGTCACGATCTTGGACTTGTTATTTTGAGAGACTGTGAATGTAGGAGTATTATTTAGCCACACTAATTTGTTTAGTAATTGGGGAAATTTTAAGAGATCTCCTCAAGTCCCTTAGTCTAGAAACTGAAAATCAGGTGGTGAATTTAATCACAGAGAGTAAGTCTCCTCAACTCCCTTTCATTTAAAATTTTTTATGTCAAAAATGTTAAGTACTTTCTTTACATCCAGTTTCTGACATTGCTGTCGGAGGTAGAAAAAGTTGTTATTCACTTTTAAGACAAATCCCTCTAAAAAATGGACCAGAAATAACCCCCTTCAAATTTAGTGAATGCTGCCTCATCAATTGTTTTTTATTACTTAAGTGAAAAGAGCTATGATGTCTTTGGAAAAAAATAGGCATACGCTGGTATTTCAACACCTTTACTTTTAACTTTGTTACTTGGGCATGTTGCATAAAAAGTTTAATAATGCTTATCTTAAATTGTTTTGATAAGTATGCAAGATAACATATGAACTACTCTTAGCATGAAGTCTGACAGAGTAAAACAACTCAGTGAGTTTGAGTTCAGTTGCCTACCTGCCCCATATTTCCTTAATCCTCAATTTTGTTCCCGTCTCAGAGATTTTCAAATCAGTTCTGGTTCAAATTCCAATCAAAGTATATTTACAGTAGCCTTCTTTTCTTAAAGTCTCCTAAAAATTTTGCTCCTTATAGGCAAAAATATCTTTCTAAACTTAACAGAATGCTAGATGTTTATAAATCATTAAAATTAACATTATCCAACCAATTGATATATAATTTATGTACAATAAAATGCACGAATTTTCAATAAACAGTGTGATGCGTTTTGCTATATGTGTACATTTGCATAACCTCCATCACAATTAAGATACGGAATACTCTCATAACACCAGTACAATCTCTCATGACTATTTGTAGTCAATTCCTTTCTCCACCCCAACATACCAACCCAGTTACCAGGCAACCACTAATCTGCTTTTAGCTTCTATAGATTATTTTTGCCTGTTCTAGAATTTTATATAAAAGCAGTTCTACAGTTTGTAATCCTTCATATCTGGCTTCTTTCATGCAGCATAATATGATAAGGTTTATCTTTAGTATATGTCCTTTTATTGCTGCATAGTATTCCCTTATATGGATATACTACAATGGTTTATGCATTCAACTGTGTATAGACATTTGTATTATTTCCAGGTTTAAGATATTATGAAAAAAGTTGCTATGATTATTCATATACAAGTCTTTCTGTAGAAATATGTTCCATTTCTCTCAGGTAAACAATTTAAAGAATAGAACTGTCTGATCATAAAATAAGTATATGATTTTGAAGTTATCAGATTGCTTTCCAAAGTGATTATACCATGTTACACTACCACCAGCAATATGAGAATTCCAGTTCCAGTTATTCCACATCCTCACCAGCAAATACTAGTCAGCCTTTTTAACATTAGCCATTGTGATATGTATGTAGAGGTAGCTAATTATGATTTCAGTTTTCATTCCCTTGATTATTAATGATGTTGACCATCGTTTATGTGCTTATTGGCCATTCATGCATGTTTGTATGTGAAGTTTCTGATCAACTCATTTTTCCCGTTTTTATGTTGATTGTCTTCTTACAGTTGAAATGAAAGATTTTTTTTACATTTTTGATACAAATTGTTTATCAGATATATGTATTGCAAACATTATTTTCCAGTCTGTTTTTTGTATATTCATTTTCCTAATGTGTTTTTCAAATCACAGTAGTTGAAATTTGTGGAAGTCCAATTAATTTTATTATTTTTTAATGGTCAAATGTGTATGTGTGTGTGTGTGTGTGTCCTAATGTCTTATCTAGGAAGTATTTAGAATGTGTTTTTCAACCACAAGATTGCAATGATTTTTTCCTCTGATCTCTTCTAAAAGATTTCACTTGTTTATGCTTAGTTCTATTATCTAGAGGTATCAAGATATTATCTATTTTCTAGAGGTAATTTCTGTATATGATATGAGGAAAGGGTTGAGATTAATTACAATTAAGTAAAATATTTAATTAAAATAAGCTTCTAATCAAATGGTATGGGTTTTTCATATTTGTTCTTTTTCTTCAACATTGTTTTGGCTTTTCTAGTTTTTTTGCATTTCTGTTTAAATTCCTCAGATAAATTTTGTAATTAGCTTGTCGATTTTTATCAGATAGTCTCTGTGATTTTTATGGGTTCTCATTAGAACTGTATAGAATTGGTAAACCAATTTTGTGAGAGTTGATACCTTAAAAGGATTGTCTTGCTTCCAATTCACAAACATTATGAGTCTCTATTATATTTAGATTTTCTAATTACTCCCAACAGTGCTTTGTCATTTTCAGAGCTCTGGTCTTAAACACATTTTATTAAATTTATCCCTAATAATTTTATGATTTGGAAGACAGGATAAAATGAAATCCTTAAAATCTAATTTTGAAGTGTCCTTTTCTTATATATAGAAATACAATTAATTTTTGTGTATTTACCTATTTACCTTCTTTTGTTTGTTTGTTTTTGTTTTTGTTTTTGAGACGGAGTCTTACTCTGTTGCCAGGCTGGAATGCAGTGGCGTGATGTCGGCTGACTGCAACCTCCGCCTCCCAGGTTTAAATGATTCTCCTGCCTCAGCTTCCTGAGTAGTTGGGACTATAGGCGCGGGCCACCACGCCCAGCTAATTTTTAGTACTTTTAGTAGAGATGGGGTTTCACCATGTTGGCCAGGATGGTCTCAATCTCTTTACCTCATGATCCACCCACCTCAGCCTCCCAAAGTTCTGGGATTACAGGCGGGAGCCACCATGCCCAGCCTGTATATTTACCTTCTATCTTACAACCTTACTAAATTCATTTATTACTTCTAGAAACCTTTCTGTAAATTCCTTAAGATGTTCTCATGCATAATGATGCCATCTCTAGATGAAGACTGTTTTACTTCTTTATATTTAATGTTTGTTCCTTTTCTTTTATTGGCTTATTTCATTAACTAAGACTTCCAGTAGTGAAGCCAACAGAAGTGGTAATCAAACTTGCCTTTCCCAAATATTGGAGAAAATATTCATTCTTTCAATTGTAAATATGATTGCTTTATCTTTTTTTACATATACCTTTTATCAGAGAAAGCTTCCTTCTAAATTTGCTGAGAGTTTTTATTATAAATTAGTGTTTAAAATTGTCAAATGTTCTTTTGTATCCATTGAAATAAGCATGTATCTTATCTTTTTTATTTATTAAAATAGCAAAATACTGCATATTGATCAGTATGCAAATTTTAAACTAATTTTGCAGCTTTAAGATAACCCTTTTGAAATATTTCTGGATTGTACTTACTAGAATTATGTTAGGTGTTTTTGTGTCTATATTCAGGAAATATAGAGTTTTTTAAAATAATAATTTTGCCTGGTGTTATTATTTGAGTAATGGCGACCTCATAAAATGAGCTAGGAAGTATGGCTTCCTCCTTGGTATTCAGAAAGAATTTCTGGAGAAATGGCATTATTCCTTAAGTATTTTGTAGAAATCACCAGTCAATCCATCTGAGCCTGGAATTTTGTGAGAAGGTTGTAATCACAAATATCCATAAAGCTCTTCAGCTTTTCTATTTCTTCTTGTGTTCTTTGTTTCAAGCAATGTGTTATTTTCATTTTCTGGCCTAAAGTCTTTTATAATTTCTCCATAGTATCTCATTAGTGTTTGTAGGGTCTCTAGTATTGTTTCATTTTTCATTCTTGATATTGGCAAATATGTCTTTTTTTTAACCTGATAACTCTAGCTAAGCATCTAACAAAGTTATTAATCTTTTTAGTAAGACAGCTTTGGATTTTATTAATCTTTTATTGTTTACATATTTTCCACTTTCTTGATTTTTACTCTCAATTTTATTTTTTTCTTCTACTTAATTTGGGTTTAATATTTTCTTTTTTGTAATAAGGAAGGTCCAGATTTTTCAATTTAGATTTTTTCTGTTTTCGAATATAAACACTTTAAGCTAAAAAATTTCCTCTTATAAACTACTTTAGCTGCATCTGGTGCATTTTGATATGTTATTTTTTTAGTTCACAATATTTTTAAGGTTCCCTTGTGATTTCTTCTTGAGTTATTTAAAAATATGTTTTTCCAAATAATTGTGGTTTCCAGTTTGTTTATAAAATTGAATTCCATTTTAATTTTCTTATAGTCAGATAACAAATTTTCCATCCTTAATACTTGTTGATTCTTCTTTTATGACGCAGTATATAGTATATTTGAATGAATAATCCATTTATGTTTGAGCAGAATGTATATTTGCTGTTGTGTGTCATGCTTTATAAATGTCAATCAATTCATGTAAATTGATAGATTAGCCATCGACTTATTCTGTTAAACTCAGGGAGGGGCATGAAACTTGTCAATTATGATTGTGGATTTGTGATTTCTTGTTGTAGTTCTGTGACTGTTGTTTCATATATTTTCAAGCTCTGGTACAATTGCATACATATGTAGGATTCTTATATCTTTTTATGAATTGATCACTTAAAAACATCCCTTTTTATGCCTCAACTATTCCTTAAACATGGTCTACTTTATCTGGTATTAATATAGGAACACGATCTTTCTTTAGAGTGGTGACTGCTTGGTATACCTTTACTGTCTTTGAAATTTTGTTCTATCCCTGTTCTTATAGTTAATATCTATTTCTTGTACATAGCATATAGTTTAATTTAGCTTTGGTTATCTGATCCCTTAATACTTGTATTTTAATTATAGTGCCAAACCATTAAACTTAGTGAATTATTGATGTAGTTGGGTTTAGGTCTACTACTTTACTGCTTCACTGTGGTTTGCAATTTGTTTAATCTGTTCTTTGTTCTTTTCTTCTCTTTTTCAACCTTCTTTTGGCTTACACTAACATATTTTTTAATACTTCATTTTATCTTCTAAAACTTTTTAGCTGTATCTCTGTTTTATTTTTTTAAAAAGTGAGTATTCTGGGGTTTACAATATGCATTTGAAACTTGCTAAATCCTACATTTAAATAACATTAGGTATACAGCAGCCCCCCGTTTGCAGTTTGCTTTTCTGTTTTCAGTTACCTGCAGAACAGTACAATAAGATGTTTTGAGAGAGAGAAATCACATTCACATAACTTTTATTACAATATATTTTTAAATTATTCTATTTCATTTTGTTATTGCTATTAATCTTTTACTGTACCTAATAAATTAAATGTTACTGATATGTATGTATGCATAGGAAAGAACATGGTGCATATAACATTTGGTTCTATCCTCAAGTTTTTGGCATCCACTGGGGGTCTCGGAATTTATTCTCCATGAATAAGGGGGGAAATTCAAGTATTCTATAGATGCATTCTAACAATATTTTTATATTTTTCTGTACTGTTCTTTGTCTTGTTACTGTCATAAAGCTTAAATATACCTATCTGTAATTTCCAAAATACTGTAGTATTTTTGCATTAAATGGTAAATTATGTTTTAAATAAATAAGAAATGAGAAAAAAGCATTTAATAGTTTCTCACATTGTTCTTTCCAGTCCTTCTCATTTATTTGTGTAGATTTGAATTTCTAACTGATATTATTATTATGATGACTTTGACCTAAAGAACTTTCTTTAACATGACTGTGCTTCAGGTTTGTTGGTGATAAATGATCTCTTACTCTTTTTGACTGAAAACGACTTCTTTATTTAAACTTAATTTTTAAGAATATTTTTGCTGGATATTGAATTTTAGTTTGACAGTTTTATCCTGTTTCTCACTTAAAGTGTTGTTTGATTGTTCCTATCTTGCATTGCTTCTGATGAAAATGTAGTTCTTATTTTTACCTTTGATGCCATGTAATTAATGTGTTTTTAATTCTAGCTGTTTTATTTAAGGTCTTCTTATTTCACCGGCTTATAACTACAGGTATACCTTATTTTATTGTGCTTTGCTTTATTGCACTTTACTGATATTATGTTTCTTACAAATGGAATGTTTGTATCAACTCTGCATCCAGCAAGTCTGTGGGCACCATTTTTCTAACAGCATGTAATTACTTTGTATCTCTATGACACATTTCGGTAATTCCTGCAATATTTCAAACTTTAAAGTTGTTATTATATCTATTATGATGATGTGTGATTGGTGATGTCTAATGTTACCATTATAATTGTTTGGGCACGCCACTAACCACAGCTATATAAGACAGCAAACTTAATAGATGTACGTATTCAACTAGTGCGTCACCAACTTGTCATTTCCTCATCCCTGTTTTTTCTCCTCAGGCCTCCCCATTCCCTGAAACACAATATTGAAATCATGTCAGTTATCCTATAATAATCGCTAAGTATTCAAGTGAAAGGAAGAGTCACATATCTCTCCCTTGAACTTGAAACTGATTTAGTTTAGTGAGGAAGACATGTCAAAAGCCCAAATAGGCGTAAAGCTAGGCCTCTTGTGCCAAACTGTTGGCCAAGTTGTGAATGGAAAGGAAAAGTTCTTGAAGGAAATTAAAAGTGCTCCTCTAGTGAATATGCAAATTATGAGGGTGATGCAACCTTATTACTGATATGTAGAAAGTTTGAATGGTCTGGTTAGAAGACCAAACCAGCCACAATATTCTCTTAAGCCAAAACCTAATCCAGAGCAAGGCCCTAACTCTCTTCAGTTCTACAAAGGCTGTGAGAGGTGAGAGCTGCAAAAGAAAAGTGTAAAGCCAGCAGAGGTTGGTTCATGGGGTTTAAGGAAAGAAGCCACCTTTTTTTTTTTGAGACACAGTTTTGCTATTCTTGCCCAGGCTGGAGTGCAATGTCGTGATCTCAGCTCACTGAAACCTCCGCCTCCCGGGTTCAAGCGATTCTCTTGCTTCAGCCTCCCAAGTAGCTGCGATTACAGGCATGTGCCACCATGCCTGGCTACTTTTGTATTTTTAGTGGAGATGGGGTTTCTCCATGTTGGTCAGGCTGGTCTCGAACTCCTGACCTCAGGTGATCTGCCTGCCTCGGCCTCCCAAAGTGCTGGGATTATAGGCATGAGCACCACACCTGGCCAAAGAAGCCACCTTTATAACATAAAAGTACAAGGTGAAGCAGCAAGTGCTGCCGTAGATGCTGCAGCAAGTTATCCAGAAAATCTAACTGGGATCATTAGTTGACTACACTAAACAACAAATTTTTAATATAGGCAAAAGAGACTTCTATTAGAAGAAGATGCCATCTGGTACTTTCAGAGCTGCAGAGGAGAAGTCAATTCCTGGCTTCAAAGCTTCAAAAGGCAGCCTGACTTGCTTGTTAGGGGCTATTTCAACTGGTGACTTTAAATTGAAGCCAATGCTCATTTCTGCCCTAAAAATCCCAGGGCCCTTCAGAATGATGCTTAATCTACTCTCCATGTCCTCTATAAATGGAACAACAAAACCTGGACTACAACACTTCTGTTTATAGCATGGTTTGTGGGATATTTTAAGCCCATGGTTGAGATCTACTGCTCAGAAAAACAGATTCCTTTCAATTTTGACAATGCACTTAGTCACTCAAGACCTCTGACAGAAACATTAACAAGCATTAACAAGAAGTTAATGTTTATTTCATGCCTGATAGTAGTACTACATCTACTCTGCAACTCATGGATCAAGGATGTTATTAAAACCACTTGTGATTCATGGGAGGGGGTCCATATATCAACATCAACAGGAGTTTGGAAGAAGTTGATTCCTATCCTAATGGATGACTTTTAGGGGTTTAAGACTTCATAGAAGAAAGTAATTGCAGATGTGGTAGAAATACCAAGATAATTCAAATCAGGAGTGAAGTCTGAAGATGTGACTGAATCCCTCCAATCTCATGATAAAACTTGAGTGGATGAGGAGTTGCTTGCTATGAAGGAACCAAAAAAAAAGTGGATTTTAAAGATGAGTCCTACTTCTGGTGAAGATGCCATGAACAGTGTAGAGGAGACAAATGATTTAGAATATGTCATAAACTTTGTTGATAAAACAGCAGCAGAGTCTGCAAGGATTGACTCCAATTTTGAAAGAAATCTACTCTGGGTAAAATCCTGTTAAACAGCATTGCACATGCTATGGAGAAATCTCTTAGGAAAGGAAGAGTCAATTGATGTGGTAAACTTCATTGTTATCTTAAGAAAATTGCCATAGCCACCCTAACCTTAAGCAACCACTACCCAATTAGTTAGCAACCATCAACATCCAGGCAAGACCCTCCACCAGCAAAAAGGTTATGACTTGCTGAAGACTTAGATGATCATTAGCCTTTTTTAGCAATAAAGCATTTTCAATTAAGATATGTATATTTTCAGACATATTGCTTTTGCACACTTAATAGAATACAGTATATTTTAAACATAACTTTTATATTCACTGAGAAACCAAAAACAAAAAAATTCATGTGAATTGCTTTATTGTGATACACATTTGCAGTGGTCTGAAACCAAACTTGCAACATCTCTAGGGTATGCCTATATTTGGTTACAACATTTGGCCTTGGCATGATTTTAATTGTGTTTATCTTTCTTGAGGTCAGTAATGGGGGGTTAGAACTTTGAATTTATATTGTTAACATCAATTTTTGGACAATTTTCTGTTATTATTTCTTCAATATTTTTCTGATCTTCATTTTGAGACTCCAATACCACTTACTTTAGAATACTCTAAAATGACCCACAGATCAGTAATTTTAGTTTAAATGTTTTCCTCAGTTATTTTTCCTTTTAGTTTTAGTGTTTCTATTGCTATGTCATCAAATTCACTAATCATTTCTTCCTCAGTGATTAATCTGCTATTAAGATAATCTACAGAGTTTTTTATACCAAATATTATATGTTACAGCTCTAGGACTTATATTTTTTTCTTTTTTTATACACTAGCCCCCCTTATCAGCAGTTTCACTTTCCCTGGTTTTAGTTACCTTCAGTCAATTGTGATCTGAAATATTACATGGAACTTAGAAATAAACAATTTGTAAGTTTTCAATTGTGCACAGTTCTGAATAGCTTGATGAAATCTTGAGCTTTCTTGCTTTGTCCAGCCTAGAGTATGAATCATCCCTCTGTCCAGTGTCTCTATCATATATATGCTACCCACATGTTGGTCACTTAGTAGCTATCTTGGTTTAGTTGGATTGACTTTTGTAGTATTGCGGTGCTCATGTTCATGGTCAGTAGTAGCTTAACACTAAGTCAGAAGGCCTAGGTTATTCACCTCATTTCCTCTCATCGTGTAGACCTTCTTGTCATCTCAAATCACCCCAAGAAGATGGGCAAGTACAGTAAAATCAGATATTTTGAGAGAGAGAAAGATTACATTCACATAGCTTTTATTACAGTACGTTATTAAAATTATTGTATTTTTATTATTAATCTCTTACTGTGCCCAATTTATAAATTAAACTTTGTCATGAATATGCATGTATAGGAAAAAACATAGTGTATATAATTTTCAGTACTATCCATAGTTTCAGGCATCCACTGAGGGTCTTGGAATGTATCCCCCATAGATAAGGAGGGAGTAATGTATCTTCTACTTTGTTTCATTATGATCATAGCTTCCTTTAAAGACTAAGGTATATTTAGAAATCTCTTTAAAAATATTTATCTGATGTTTTCATCATTTCTGTAATTACTGGGTCTTGTTTCTATTGAATTATTTTCTATCTGATTATTGGTCACATTTTCCTACTTATTTACATGTGTAGTGATTTTTTTGAATTGAATACTGGAAATTATCATTAATTTTTTTTAGTGAATGAATTTTCTTGTCTTCTTTTAAAGAGTGTTGAATTATTTTCTTTTTCTTTTTATGGTGGTAATTTAAGTTACTTTTGTATCAGTTCAATCCACTCAACATTGGTTTTGAAGCTGTTTTATGGCCAATTTAAAGAAACTTGTACTTTAGAATTAGCCTGTACTATGGCTTTTCCAAGATCTCTGCCATGCTTATCATTCAAGGTCTTTTAACATTTGATCCCAAACTTCTATTCCAATCTTATCATCCATTGCCCTTCTAATGCACATTATGCTTGCATCAACCAGGTCCCTTGTTTTGCTTATTCTATTGGTTCTTTTTGTCTTACAAGCTTTTTGGTTTGGTTCTTATTTATTATACCTTGCATTATAGCTATTCGTAGCCAAATCATTTTACGTTTTTTGGCCTTAGCTTGCTCATCAGTAAAACAGGAAGATGGTGGTGGCTAGATTTCTCAGATAACTGGTAAGCTTTGTCTACTACAATGAAATAAGATATTTTATATGGGAAGTTGTTGTTGTTGTTATTCTAATGATGATCTTGTCACCCTTATAATGCTGAAATCTTCTCGAGAGCAACATCTGATTGTCCTGAGCACTTTGTAATTCTTTGTATTTAGACCTTACTTTTCGGATATTATTACCCTTTTATTTGTCCACTTTAAATCTTCCAAGCCACAGTCAACTCATTTATTTTGTATGCATGAAGAAATTGTGAACAGATAAAATTACCTACATAAATTCCCAAAACACATATTTCTCAAGAATTTTTATATGTAAGGTAAATTATATTTTGACTTGAATTATTTGGATACTTACTTAATATGCTTAATTTTTTCCCTTGTACATGTGAATTAATTGGCAGAATGACCTGAAGCTATTAGTCAATATGCATTTACTAAGTGCCTTTCAGTTTTCCAATAACATGCTAAGTATGTTAGGTCAAATAACAATAATGACCTGAACCATAATGATACTAACTAACATTAGTATTTTGAGCATATACTCTGGTCCAGGTATTATGCATAAGGCTTTTACATGCATGAACTCTTTTCATCCTCCAGGAAATAGGCTGTTGCTGTATTGTCTCCATTTCTTGCAAAATGAAATCAAGGTTTAGAGATGTTAAGCAATCTTCCCAAGATCAGACTCGATCCTGGCTGTACAGCAGAATCACCTGGGGGAGCTTTTAATAAATTACCATAACCCATTGTACCCTAGGCCATTGAAATCAGAATCTCTGGGGTTGCAGCCCAGGCATCAATATTTTAAAATATCTTTCCAAGTCATAGTAATATGCAACCAAAATTGAGAACCACTGCTCTAGAGCCTCTATTTTATTCTTAATAAGAGTTTATAAAAGTTATTGCTCAATATGAGCTTATAAGTTAATTGGGTAGACATACACAGATAAAACAATAAAGAACTAGTACAAAGAAACCAGGAGGTTTCAAAAGTAAACATTGAATTATATAGCCTACTGTAAGAGCAGCAGAATCTCAGAGAATGTAACTCAATTATAATTCTTAAGTGTGAAAGGGTTTGAATATAAAGAGCCAGCCACCAAATGCTTTTTCCCTAACAGAACAGGAGATGCTTTTAAATTGCAGACGAGATCATGCCTACTGTAAGAAAGGGTTTCAACATTCAGTTGGACTGAGGGGCATAGGTTGTCTTGAAGACTCTTAACATAGGGTATTTTAGAAATGATTCTAGTGAAAGGCAGGGCGTTGGGCTGAGTGACCCCTCACAGCCTCTCTCAGCCCAGGAATTTTGTGACATGCATTGGAATGCAGACAGCTCATCACTGCGAGGAAAATGAAACAGCCATTGTGTCTTGTTAACCAGACTGCTCGCCTCCTCCAGCCATCTCCATAAAGTTGCCCTATGCCATCAAAGCATGTTTCAGTTCTGGTCCCCCAACAGAAAAATTCTGAAAAACAATAGTGCAATATCTGAGAATAACAACTCACTCTATGCAGTACTCATCCTAAAAAAAAAATCTGTTTAAACATTCGACATTATTACAAGTTTGCACCCCATCAGAATAAATAAGTTAGGCCTAAGAGGCTGAGTAATCAATGCCCTATTAACAAATTGATTTTAAAAAATGGTTTTAAAAGAATGGTGATTATCTATGCATGTTGGGGAATGCATCCAGTTCACTGGGAGTGATAAACCAAAGGATGTGTTACAATGGATAAAAACAAGAAGCACCCTGGGCATACTGTGTAAAAGTGTGGCCCTTCATGGTACCCTTCACTTTCACTAGCATTGACCTTATTGTTAGGGAATGATAGCTAGTCTATGGCACACTTCTCTCACTGCATTCTCTCTCCTATGACAGCTGGCCACCTAGTGCCAAAAGAGCTAAGAGCACACAGGAAGGGCAGCAATGACTGCTGAAGGAAGGTGTGGGAGGCAGAAGATGAGGAGTATGTATAGGAAATGACCGTAGACACATCTGATCAAAATGTAAAATCTGACATTTATCTGTTTGCAATGCTGCGGAAAGGTGGTGTTGCCAACCATGGATGGGCCAGGAAGCAGTGGTTTTTCTATTAAGGGTAAATAAAATGAGGGTAAAATTTTAAGTTGAGGAATTTTTCTGTTGCTAGAAGGCAAATTACTACATGCAGTAGTACAAAAGAACAGGGGTAAACAATACAATATGCTGTGCATTGCGAATGCATGTGTGGTAATGTCATGAATATATTAACTTCCTTCATTGTCAAGGCAAGTGACAGAGGCTGCCTGAAATTCAGAGAGGAGCCGGCTGTCACTCTGCGGCTCAGACACTTGGAGTCACATCTCTCCTAATAACAAAGTCTATTCTGTTTACATTTGACATGGTGAGCAAGGGGTGGTGGGTTGCTTTTTTATAAGGAAATGAATGAGGGCATGAATGAATGAAGGAATGAATGAATCGATGAAGACTCTACGCAGTCTATCCTGAAGCCATCAGTCTTCCCTGTTTGGATGCAAACAAATCATCTCTGACAGGAGCACATTTAGGTGAATTTTTTAATATTTCTGGCAATGGGCTGTATTTATTTATTTTAACTATGTCAACATACTGCATATTTCTGACTCTAGGTCCCAGTGGTGTTTAATAAAAGAAACCCGAAAAGCACTACAGTGTCAGAATCTGGAAATGAGAAGATTCTATACGTACTAATGGAGAGAAAGGAATTTGAGGATAGTGCCAGTGAGGGTGGGTGACAGGTTAACATTAGTTCTACTTGGATTGGGGGTCTGGTTATCTGACTGTTTCCCCTATCTTAATGTGTAACTGAGGTAAGGAGGTAAATATCCCATTGTGCTTAATAGCAGGATCCTGAGAAATGTTCACAGAGTGAGGGAGGGAAAAGAGCCGGAGGCAGATTATTAGGTTGGAATTAAAATGCAGACGAGATTCATTAAATTGTTGACCCTCCTCCCCACTCCAAAAAAAAAAAAAAAATCAGGTTGCCATCTTAAATTGACAGCATTAGAGAGGAATTATGTGCGCTGATTAATAAGTGAATGTTTTTACCATTATGATCACGGCACCTGCTAGTTATGTCGACATTGAAGAGGCTCTCAAACTACAGTGTTTCCAATAATAAAGGTACCATCAGCTGAAAGTTGTGCACAAGTGTTCAATGCAGGGACACATCATTTTTTTATACAGTTGTGATGTTTAAAAATATTGGTAAAATTCTCCTTGCCAGTTTCCTCTGCGCCCTTCCTCCCAACTCTTACCTGTGTATTGTATGCAAAAGCACATGATTTACTCACATCAGCAAAGCAAATTAAAAGAAAATTTAGTAAAGAAAATTTGGAGTCAAATCAGAAAATGCCAAAGACAGTGAATTCCAGAGCAAGACGAACATGCAGCTTACCATTTAGAGCTGCATGATATGAAGTGATTTCAAAACATGTGTTATTCTTTACAGGTTCCAAGAAAAATGGCAATTTTATCCAATTTGGGTGTTTGCCAAAGGTGCCATTTCACCAAATGTAGCTAAGGTCATAAAAAAAAAAGGAAGCTTCAGAGTAGATTAACTGGCTTTGCTGTACTATAATGGTGCTTTAAATGAGCAATTTGAGACAATTAACCTGGAACAGGCACTTCTGAGTGCTTTATCCCTTTAACAGTTTTGGTTCTTCAAACAAGAACAGAGAAAATGAAAATTGGCTCCTTCCCATCACAGAATCTTCTGTATAACTTTGTGAATATGCATATGATCTATAAGGAGCATGTAATGGGAAATCTAAACTATGTAATTTGAAGATGTAATACTCCATCAACCAAATAAAATCATTTTAAAAATTAATGGGTATTTATGTGGCTGACTTAAGATAAAACTGTTCTCCATCTTTTGGTAATACTTAATAGCTCTTCCCTTGGATACAAAACACATATTTTTCATCTATGTGCTTATTATTTATTGTAAAGTATGGGAGGAAAATGATCATTTGGAATTATATGAAATTATTAAAGTATTAAAATGCTTTCACACACTATCTGGAGATACTGGTCTCTCGTTATATTTAAAAATAGGCAGAGGAGAAAAGAAATAAAATAAATCTTACTAATCAATAGGGAGGAAGAGATTTAAGAATGCATTTAGGAAAGTAATCAAACTCCAAGCCACATCACAAACTACTAAGTGCCTACTATGTGCATGAGATTAAGGTAAATAAGACACAGCGTATTAATTGTAGCTATTATCATTATACATATGCTGTTCTGGAAGGGTTGATCTAGAGATGGTGCACAGGATGGAATGGAATCAGAAAGAGAAGAGACTTTTATGGTATTTAAGCGCCCTGATTGTTTTCTGAAGGCAAGCCAAGCTGAAGAGAATTGTCCTAGGGAAAATGAATGTTTAAAAATCATTGCTGAGAGATTTGGAAATCTTAACTGAAACTCCAGGAAGCCAGGAGGATTTTTCTAATATGGAAATGGGAGAAGATTCCTCTGCTGGATGTTTTCTCATCTTCTCAATCTCTAAATTTTAGAACGCTGCAGCTCCCAGTCTTACCCATCTCATATGGAAATGGGAGAAGATTACTCTGTTGGATTTTTACTCTTTTTCTCAATCTCTACATTTTAGAACACTCCAGCTCCCAGCCTTACCCATGTCCTCTGTCTGCATGCATACCCTATACCATCACACCCATTCCCGTTCTGCAAATGCCATGCTGTTGTTGACTCCCCAGTTCACATCTCTAACCTCAACTGTAACCTCTCCTTTGAGCCCTGGATTTATGTCTCCAGCTGCCTACCCTGTCTCTCCCTTGAATGTCTAATAGAGTTCTCAAAATCAACATGGCCAAATTTAACTGAATCCAAACCATTCTTCTCTAGCCTTTCCATCTTGGTAGGTACCACCACCTACCCTCAGTTACTAGAATAAAAACCTCAGCATTTGCTTTTTCTCCCCATGGAGTTCTATTTTTGTTCTAAATTGGGAAAGTGCGAAGAGCTAAGATTATCCTTTGCATAAAGAGAATCTGAACTATCACCCCTACCCTACAGGTTATTTTTCTTCCTCCTCTCAATAATGAGTGGCCTAACCCACCCATTCATTTGACAAATAGCTGTTGGGCATGGTACACATGGGTGGATTCAGACCCAGATGAAGAAGACACACATCTTTGTCTGGCGGAATTTACAATGACATACCTAAGGAAATAACTACTACTGCTACTTCAAAGACTAACCAGAAAACTCATGAGGTCTCCAACTAACTCAATAAAATCCCCTTCCCCCATGCAAAATTAATATCTCAAAGATAATGATTGGTCTCTGTTTTTTATCCAATCAGATGCTAAAGCATATGCCCTGAGCATTCATCTTTGGGTCTTGAAATCACTCTGAGGAAAGGAGGGGCAGACAGAAGGTTAGTATTCTAAATGCTTATTTTAGATAAGCAGGGAGAGTGTGGTGGCTCCACTGGTTTACATTTCTTTCAGACTGACTGTGAAATCAGGTTGGGTGGGGTTTTCTCTAGTCTTCTGGGACCCTTTTAAACACATTTCTTTCCAATCTCCTACATTCACTCAACATTCAAGGAGTACATACTTATTTGCATGGACCTAGATGCTAGAAATAAAATAGCCGTTAAGAAGACTCTATTCTATAGGAGTTTAAAAGTCTAATCAAGGGCGAAAACCGAGAAAATAAATTGTGCAATAGCAGGGCTCAGATGCATTGAGTGAAGTTGGGGAACACATGCTGACAGTGTGGACTGTGCCACCTGGTGGGCTCAAGGCGGGTCTCTAAAGAAAATGATGTTTGTCCTCTGTTCTGGGCAGCAGGGAAAGCGGGGACAAAGGCAAGAAGGTGTGAAGCAGCAGGGCCTATTCATGGAACTGCGATTCTCTCAGCTTGAAAGGAGACGGTGAGGCAGGCATGTTCAGAGGTAAGATGAGGATTAGGTCACAGGGCTCGAGTGTGCCAAGCTAAAGAACTTGGCCTTTATCCTGTACAAATAAGAAAGCTGGTGAAGCCTTTCATAGAAAAGATAATGTAATTAGATTGGCACTTATGCAAATCATTGTGACAGCTGTGTGCAGGTGAACTGGACATGATTAGTAGGGAGGCAGTCTTCCTCACAATGTGACTGAGCATAGCCAAGCCTGGAACTAAACATTTAGTATTTAACATACATAATAGGTCTTAATCTTTGTCTATTTGCTTCGAGGCCTTTGTATGGTTTTACATTATTAGTTTGCTCTTGGGATTTAAAAATCTATGGTCTTTTATTTACGGTTTGTCTTTTATCAAGTTTCTTACCTTGTCTGTTTTGGTTTGCTCCTCTATAAAATGAAGAAAATAAAATATTACCTCTCTTGCAAAGCTTTTGGGAGGCCTAAATAAGTTTTATCATGTAAAGGGCTTAGCCATGGCATGTACATCATATACAATTAAGCATAAGTTAATATTATTTTAACTAAACAGTGAGGCTTATAAACAATCACATTTTTTACTCCACCCAGGGCTGAGAACATGGCTGTTCCTACATTTTTCAGGCGACTTGATGTCTTCATATTATCGTAGATTGTAGATAATTTTTGAAGAAAAAAAAAAGTATAATTAGCACTGTTAAATCCCAATCTTAACTCTCATCCCTGAGCTGGAAAGAAAATTCCCTACTGAAATTTTAAAATGCAGTGAATGGAAAAGTACAATTCTGAATTGGCCCAATTATATATAACTTCATTCATAAGTTATAGGACAGCATTCTTTTTATGAATGTGACCAAACACAGAGACACTGAATGACCCTTGGTGTTCTTCAATGTAGGTGACCTCTTACAACACATCTTGCATTTGTCTTCCTATTCTGGAGTTTGAAAAGCTCATTCTAAAGTGTGCCTTTCCTTGATGACAACAGTGGCTGTGCTCTTTTAAATGCTTACTAAAGCAGACACCTTATTTCATGCTTTGTATCTACTCATTTGAACTTCATTACAATCCAGTGGTAATGGTTATATAAATAGGTGCCATTATTATCACCATTTTGCAGATGAGGAAATTGAGAGAGAAAAGAGTTTCTGACACCTGGCCATCTGACTTCAAAGCCCTACAGAGCTTTATCACTGTGCTATATCGTCTTCATTAAAGTAGCACTAGACACGTCAACTAACTGCTCAAAAATTATATATATTATTTAATGTATGGGTTAACTGATTGAAAAAATGGTTACCTTTTATTTTAACATGGAGAAACTCATTTGCACTTTATAAAAACCCGCTTTGTTAAAAAGATAATATGCTTTGAGAATACTAGAGTGTAGCCAAACATCAAAATTAGAGGTATTAGTGTGCTAAGTTGAACTATTCCTTAACCTATTGATTAATAAAACAGAAAAAAACAGCACCTTTTCAAGTTTTTTTTTCTTTCAGAGTAATTGGATTCAAATTCACATCTGTAGCATTAAACCAGTGTTTTCAACCTTTTTTCCCCCTTTCCAATTGTTTAACCTCTGTCTACATCTCTGGCATAAATTTAAGACTTTATTTGTGAATATTCAGATAAGCACTTTGCCTCTAACGGTATTGTTCAGGGCCCAGCATCATTGTTACAGCTGTAATTGTAACTATCAAGACACAGTTCTTTGTAATTAGAAAGTCAAGATGGTATTCAGCAGTATGGCAGCACAGACTTACATTTGTTAGGCTATTAGAAAAAAAAATGTTTACAGAGAAAACAGTGTCATTGTTTAGTGCTCTTAATTGACCATCTGCCTGGTAAAGAAATGTCCAAAGAAGGATAAATAAGACTATAGTACACTTATTTATTTATTTTCTTTGTGCAGTGAGGAAATTAGGAAAAGCAACAGCGGAGGCAAACTAGATAATACGTTTCTAAATCAGGCTGCAAGTGAAATCATGCCATGCATATGTTTCTTTTTAAATTTCTTCCAGTGTCAAGACAAAGACCTATGGCCTTCTCAAAGTTTGCTTAAGAAAAATGTTTTAGACTGCCCCTCGAGTTCCTTGGCAATGTGGTTCTCACCTTCGTGTTCCCATTCTCTCCCACAAATCCCCCTTGTGTGGACACGCTGCTCTAACCACCCTGCTTTGTTCTCTGATGCACAGTTTCTACAGATAAATGCTCTCCCTCTGTGCTTTTGCTTAAGCTAGTTCTATCCCTCTCTTCTCCCTTCCAGCTATAGAAATCTTACTAGTTCCTCCAAGAGCTAGGTCAAGTATTTCTCCCCCACCACCCATCCCTGTGTCTTTTTCTGACCATCCGGGAAGACCAAAATCTTCCTCCTCCAAAATTCTCTAACTCTTATTATTTTTCCATTCATTTGGCAATGGAAGGTGACCTGCCTGGTGACGTTCTTCTGTTGTGCTGGAACCATTATTCAAATTAAGCTTTTCCATTTGCATCCTCATATGCTTCTGTTTTGACTCTCTCCTTGCAATGTTCTCTTCCTAAAATTCTGTCTTATTCTTCTTTGAATTCCCCCCAAAATGCCCATCATTTTATATATATGTGTGTGTGTGTACATATATATATATATATTTTTTTATTTTTTATTTTTTTTACTAGATTTCAAAAATCTAACTAGCACTCAGGGTCTTGCAAAATGTTTATGATTCATCTTTTGACAAAATCAAATAAACCGGGGCTGATTTGACCCTCAAAGCATGTTTTAATTCTCTTCAGTGAATACACTGAGTACCTATTATGTGCCTGACTTTCTGTGAGGCCTTGGGAATGCTGAGAAGAATCAGCCATGGTCCTTTGTCTCAAGGAGCTTACCTCTGGAAAATGGTCTCTGGTGGAGTCACATTTCAAGGAGAAAGGGGTGCAAGAAAATACAGGAAACATCAAAATCAGAAGGTAAGCTTCTTGGAATTTGATTCAGATTACTAAGAGTAATTTTGACAGGGGCTTTTCAATAGTTACCAAAAACCCAGGTTCACACTGATGGATCTGTTCTTTTGATGTGTCACACTGGTGCACATCTTGCAGAAAAGGCTACATTGAATTGCTCTTGCCAGGAGGGAAAACAATATGTGGCACCCAGGACAGATCTGCTCCCAGATTCAGTAATTTGGGTCCTATTCCATGTCCAAAAAGCAAGGAGCAGCTGGTCTTGAGAAGATTATCTGTTGTGCTATATGGATGTCCTTCTGCCCAGGGTCTGAATTGGTTTTCCTCCCAAGACAGTGAGTGACCAGGCTTATGCTTGGGGACCTGTCTCTTCCAGGATCACAGATGGAAGCCCCCATTACAGCCACACACAGATTCACCACAATATGGAAACCCTTCAAGCAGGAAATGGAACAAAAACACAAAATATGACCTGACCCAATACTAGCCTCAAATTCTAGTGGATAACTCTACTTGGTATTTTTTCTCTGTAGTTCTCTGGAGACAATGGAAGCCTGGTTCACTAGCAGATATTTTTTAGGACTTAAGCAAATACTGTTTGTAACAACTTCTCTGACCCAGTCTTTCCCTCTCCAACTCAGTTATTCTTAGAGCATTTTATATACTTTATACATTTTGTAGTGTTTCCCGGAAAATGCTTCCACCACTGAGTAGCCATGTAACTAAACTGATCACTCCTTGTGCATAACAATTACTATTACGGATAGGTTCATATTTTTCTGCTACCCTGTTATCCTAAGTTATTAAAGGCCTTTTGCTCTTGTTTTTGTGCCTCCTTGAAATATTCTTCCCAGGATCTCCTCATAGCTCAATTTTTCTTATTTATTTTATGTCTCTGCTCAAATTCTGCTCTATCATTGAACTCTTCTTAACCTCCATATATAAAGAGCAATCTTCACTTCAAACATACCCTGTTTAACTGTTCCCCATAGGTAAGCTCATTAAAGCAGAGGATTTATTTCTCCCCACCCCTACACATGGGTGTATCTCAGGCCATTTTATAGGTATTTCAATAAATATATATTTAATAAACTAACTCATTTTCAGAGATTCTTGGCTAGGGGCCTTATTGTGATTTCATAAATCTGTAGAATTTCTGGGATCTGGAGTCCTATAGTCCCATAGTCCTAGGTTTGGATCCCGTCATTGACCATGACCAAGTTTCTCCTCCCTAAGCTTGTTTCCTTAACTTCAGAAGAGAGATAATAGCATTGATCTCTTTAGAGTGGTGATGGGAATAGCTTGAGAGGAGCTCACAAGAGCATGTGTCTACAACAGCAAGGTATCCAGCATATGTAGATTATTTTCTCACCCTCCTTTTGCGCTGCCAGCTTCCTTCTATCTCCTCCTAATTTCTTTCTCCCACATCCTCCATTTTCTCCTTCCTTCCTTATTTTTTGTCAATCCTTTTCTTCGTTTCCTGCATCCATTCCGTCCCTCCGTATTAGGAGTGGAGATAACCTGAGGACTCCCATTCTGCATTTGCTTCAGTAGCCCTCTCAAAGCATACACACCCACACACACACACACAGACACACACACACAAACACACACAGACACACACACAGAGACACATACACAGAGACACACACACAGACACACAGAGACACACGCACACACACACAAAGCTCCTATTCCTTTTTGAAAGATTTGCACAGAACCGTATCTCATTTTTTCAACAAAACTTAAGAAAATATTTGCCTTTATTGTCATGTATTTCTCCACTGAAACTTTTTGCAGACCCCAAATTTTTCTCAGCTATCTAAGAATCACAACGTAGACTACTTCTTTGGGGCATTCATGGGTAGAGGCTATTTTTCTCTTCATCCTTTGCGCCACGACAACAGCATGTAGTCTAAGGGGTTACATGAAACACTGCAACCCACACATGTGTTCAGGCAGAGATTGATATTACTTTTGTCATAAGGAAAAATTAACACAGATATTTTTCAGTACTGTGGTAATCTTAGTTTAGGTAGAAGCCTTTACTTTATTGGGCTTTGAGAAGACATTATTTCTAGTATTTCCTGGTGAGAAGACTGAAGCAAATTTAGGTAACAGATTGGCCAACACTGAAATACAACTGCAGAAGTCCCAGAACTTAGAATAATGCCTGAAAAACAGCTAATTCTGGCCTCAATTTGGATTACATAGAAACTCAGTTACAGTGTGTAAACCAAACAGAGGGGAATTCGTTAGTCTCATATAACTAGAGGTACAGTGACAGATCATCCAGGACTGGTACCACGGTTTAACGGTGTCTTAGTGATACAGCATCTGCCAGAATTCCTTGTGATCCAGACCGGGAGAAGGAGGAAGGGGAAAAGAGCAAAAGCAGATTCCTACTTAGAACACATTGACCAGGACGGAGTTCCACGGCCACCCCAGCTGTGACGGAAGTGAAGAATGAGGCACTTTGGCTCTAATCTCTATGATGGAGGCTGGCATAAAGGAATATTGCTGGAATGGATAGTAAACAGTATCTACAACAAAACTATTTGTAAATAAATCAGATAATTTTTTAAAAGAATGAATTTGGAATTTTAGAGCCAAACAATGACACGTTTCAATCTTTTTATTTTACCAGAAAGAAAACTACAGAGGTCACTGGATTCTTTTAAGTTCACACAATACCTTAGTCCATTCCTGAAGTTATTTTAAAAACATGAGAGGTGCCAGCAGATTTGGCATCTGGTAAGGATCTTCTTGCTGCATCTTTACATGGTGGAAGGGTAGAAGAATTCAAAAACCTAGCTAGCTCCCTCCAGCCCTTTAATAAGGGAAACTAATCCCATTTACCAGGGCAGAGGCCTCATGACCTAATCACTTCCCAAAGGTCCCACCTCTTAACACCATCACCTCAAGGTTTAAGTTCAACATATGAATTTGGAGGGACACATATTGATACTATAACATTCTGCCCCGACCCCAAAAGTTTATGTGCTTCTTACATACAAAATACATTTATTGGCCAGGCATGGTGGTTCACGCCTGTAATCCCAGCACTTTGGGAGGCCAAGGCGGGCGGATCACGAGGTCAGGAGATCGAGACCATCCTGGCTAACATGGTGAAACCCCGTCTCTACTAAAAAATACAAAAAAAAAAAAATTAGCCGGGCGTGGTGGCGGGCGCCTGTAGTCCCAGCTACTCGGGAGGCTGAGGTAGGAGAATGGCAGGAATCCAGGAGGCGGAGCTTGCAGTGAGCCGAGATCGCACCACTGCACTCCAGCCTGGGAGACAGAGCAAGACTCCGTCTCAAAAAAAAAAAAAAAAAAAACACACACACACATTTATTTTATCCCAATAGTCCTCAAAGTCTTAACTTATTGCAGCATCCATTTTAAAGTCTAAGTCGAAAGTCTCATCTAAATCAGATATGGGTGAGACTCCAAGCGTGATTCATCCTGAGGCAATTTTCTCTCTAGCTGTGAGCCTGTGAAATTAAACAAACTATGTGCTTCCAAAGTACAATAATGGGACAGGCATAGGATAAACATTCTCATTCCAAAAAGGAGACATGGGAAAGAAGAAAGGAGAATCAGTTTGCAAGTGTTCAAAACCAACAGTGCAACCAACATTGAATCTTGAAGTTTGAGAATAATCTTCTCCAACTCCACGTCTTGCCTTCTGACACTGGGGCAGGGGTCTCCAGCATTTTAGGGGGGCTCTTCTCTTGTTGCTTTGGTGGGCACATCCCATGCAGAAGCTCTCAGGAGTTGGAGTCAGGTGCTTCCAGGTCTCCCAGACTGGTACTGCATACTGGTGGCTCTACAGTTATGGAGACTCGAGGTGGCCCCATCCTTATGGCTTTGATAGGCATTGAGCTAGTGGAGGCTGTCTGCAGGGCTTAAACCTGTGGTAGTACTCTGCCTGGGCCCCAGGGCTCTCCAATGCATCCTTTAATATCTTGGTGGAGGTAGCTGTGCCTCCACAGCTCTTGCACTCTGAGTACCTGCAGAGTTGGCACCCTGTGGACGCCAACAAGGTTTACTGCTTATACTTTCAAAGAGACAGCCCAAGCTGTACCTGTGCTGGCTTGTGCCACAGCTAGGGTGGCCAAAGAATGCTACACTGTAATGTCGGGAGCGAAAACTCGAGGCAGCTCTGGACAGAGGGTCCCAAGATCGCATGGGTGTCCTGAGCTTCTCCTTCGAAACCATTCAGCCATCAAAGGCTCATGATGAGAGAGGCAGCTTCAAAGGTCTCCAAAATGCCTTCAGGATCATTCTTCCATTGTCTTGATTAAGAACATCTGGCTTCCTTATATCTATATTTAATCTCCTTATCAAACATTCCCTTGACCACACCCTTAGTTTTCTCTCTTGAGCATACTTTTTTTATTCTTTACATGTCCAGGCTGAGAATTTTTCAGATCTTTAGGTTTTGCTTCCCTTTTGATTATAAACCTATCTTTAATTTCTCTCTTCTATTTTACTATAAGAAGTTGAAAGAAGCAATGAAGCATTCTGAGCACTTTCCTGAGAGATTTCTTCCGCCAAGTATCTTAGTTCACTGCTCTTAAGTTCTGTCTTCCAGGAAACACCAGAACATGAACACAATTCAGACAACTTCTTTGCCACCTTAAAACAAGTATAGCCTTTTCTCCAATTTCCAATACCTTGTTCCTCATTTCCATTTAAGAGCTCATCAGAATTGCCTTTACCTTCCATACAATCATGCATCACTTAACAATGGGGATACTGTCTGAGAAATACATTGTCGGGCAAGTTCGTCATTGTATTGGACATCAGAGAGTGCACTTACACAAACCTATATGGTATAGCTTACTATATACCAAGGCTGTATATGGTATAGCCTGTTGCTTCTAGGCTATAAATCTGTACAGCATGTTACTGTGCTGAATACTGTGAGTGACTGCCACATAATGATATGTACTTGTGTATCTAAACATACCTAAACACAGAAAACATACAGTAAAAATATGGTAAAAAGACAAAAATATGGTATACCTATATAGGACATTTACCATGAATGAAGCTTTTATGACTGAAAATTGCTTTGGGTGAGTCAATGAATGACAGGTGAGTGAATACGAAGGCCTAGGACATTACTGTACATCACTGTAGGCTTTATAAACACTATACACTTGGACTACATTAAATTTATTTTTTAAAAATGTCTTTCTATACTAACAAATTAACCTTGGCTTATTGTAACATTTTTACTTTATAAACTTTTTGTTGTTTTTAATTTTTGACTCATTTTAAATAACACAGCTTAAAACACAAGCACATTGTACAGCTGTACACAAATATTTTCCTTCTGTTAATTATTCTCTAAGCTTGCTTCTATTATTTATGTATTTATTATTTTTACTTTTTAAGTTTTTAGATAAAAATAGGACATAAGCATACACATTAGCCTAGCCCTATACATGGTCAGGATCATCAATATCACTGTTTTCCAGCTATACATCTTATCCCACTGAAAAGTCTGTAGTAGTAATAATATGCATGGAACTGTCATCTCTTATGATAAAAATGCCTTCTTCTGGAGTACCTTCTGAAGGACCTGCCTGAGGTTGTTTTACATTTAACTTTCTTATTTTTAATAAGTAGAAGGAGTACATTCTAAAATAACAATAAAAAGTATAGTATGGTAAATACAGTAATTTAGTTATTTATTATCATTATCGAGTATTATGTACTGTACATAATTGTATGTCCTATACTTGTGTATGACTGAAAGCACAGATTTATTTACACCAACATCACCACACACACATGAGTAATGTGTTCTGCTACAAGGTTCCAATGGCTACATCACTAGGAAATAGGAATATAGGAATTTTTTTTAGCTCCATTATAATGGAGTTTACAGGACCACTGTTGTGTACATGCTGTATTGTTAACTGAAATGTTGTTATGCAGCACATGACTGTATTTCTACCAACATTCTGATCATGACCAGTTAAGTAATCTCAAAAAAGATTAAGGCTTTCTCTATAGCTCTCCTCTTGTTCAGAGCCCCCTAAGAATAGTCCCTTTGAGGCTCAGCCTCTACCCACTACCCAATTTCAAAGCCACTTCCATATCTTTATGTATTTGTTATAGCCAAATGCCACTCTCAGTACCAGTTTCTGTCTTAGTCCATTTCTGATACTATAACAAAATACTTTAGACTGAATATTTTGTAACAAACAGAAATGTATTTTTCATAGTTCTAGAGGCTGGAAAGTCCAAGATCAAGATACCAGCAGATTCGTTGTCTGGTGAGGGCCTTCTGGCCTTGTCGTTGTATGTCAAGAGGGCAGAAGGGCAACAGGGTCTAGCTAGTTCCCTTCAGCCCTTGTATTAGGGCATTAATGCCATTCACAAGGGCGGAGACCTCATGACCTGATTCCCTTCCATCAGGTCTCACCTTTTGATATCCTTATCTTTAAGTTTAAGTTCTGACATATGGACTTTAGTTTCTCAAACCACAGTGCCCAGTAATTACAGTTCTCAGATACTAAGATAAGTCAGCTGATTGCCAGCAAGGTCCTCTTGTTATAACATGCCACCTGCTGGTCCTTCACATTCCTCACCTTGGTATGCAGGACTATGACTGGGGTAGATGAAGTAGTAGGTCAGACCTACTCCTTGAGAAAGCCACAGTGGCTCCATCTTTCCATGAGTACACTTATTGCAGGTCTCTCTGCATTCCCCATTAAAAACAAAATAGATGAACATATTGAAGCTCAGTACATTTGAATTAGTTACTCTTGAATCACCCAACTAGGAATGGGCAAAGTCACAATTTAAATTCAAAGGTTTTGAGATGCACAGACACTAAGTTGCAAAAGAAACATTTGTGTTACTTCATTTTAATGTAAGTAATCAGCTTTTGTAATTCGCTTATAAAATATTTGTCTTACTCTTTAAAAAACCAATATTGTTTATTTTAAACTTTTATTATTATTATTTAACTAGGCGACTCATTTTTTACTAAGGAAACTGAAAGAGTAATGTCATATGAATGACACCACATTGGTCAGTAAATACGCCTTTTTTTCTTCAGTCAAATGAAATAAAACCATTCATCCCTGGACTCTTAGTCTGAGTGTACCATGGAGCTGGCAGAGCTGGAGGAAGAAACAAGCTCCATCTCTCTCCTCCCATACCTACCCCATTGCCATCTTATCAGCATTGGAGAGAGGACTAGCCAAGTCCATGTGTAAAGATATCAAGTCTAAAATAGATTGTTTTCTACTTTAGGGCCTCTCAAACTTTAAAGCTTATGTACATTGCCCTGGAGCTTTGTTAAAATGTGGATTCTGGTCAGTAGACTGTGTGGGGTCTTAGATTTGGTATTTCTAATAAGTTCCCAGGTGATGCTGATGCTTCTGGTCCCATCTGTCACTTTCTTCCCAGTGACCCTGTTTTGTTCTTTTCTTCAAAGCACTCATTACCCCTGAACTATCATATACTGATGTGTAAACACCCACCTGCTCTCCACTAGAATGTCACATCTTTGGGTCAGTGGCTGAGTTGCTGTTGTTCACCTCTGATGCTTAGCACCAAGATTAGTGGTTAGTTTATAGGAAAGACTCCCCCAAATATCCAGTGACCCCATTAATTAATCTGGAAAAATACCTTAAACAGAATGCCAACCATCCTACCTTTGAGAATGCTTCTATTCCAATGGGAAAAAAAAAATGGCCACTCTAACCACCTATTGAAAGCTAACGGCTTCTTAATTATTCTTTCCAGGAAGTACTTGGCTTCCCAACAGGCCCTGCATCTCCTTCCCTCCACTTCACCCCACCCCATATTGAAGCTAACCTAGATTTCTTCAGTGCTGTCAGCATTTTCATGGGATGAACTTGGGGAAAATTTTGTGACCTACACAGAAGAGTGTCTTATGATGGGAAAAGGCTCTTTCTATCTTTTCTGGGTGATAGCATAAGATCTTTATTAGGTCAGTGCCTTGCACGAGCCACAAGCCTCTTAGGGAGGTAATCTGTCCAGCTCATCCTGTCACCCTTCAACTTAGTGTCACTCAGTAATGATGTACTCTGGCTGTCATCTCTATTATCCTTGTGCAATAAGTTCGTCTGCCTCCTTCTATCTTCAGTTCATTTGGAGTCCATTTAGCATCTTTACTTAGATATGTTTGGTAATTACATCTGAGAGCCCATGAAGCACTAACCATTCAAATAGTTTTCAACTGTACCTTGCATGAGAGAGCATGAACATTAGTAGCAAACACTACTTTTGATTTTCATGTGATAACAAAATCCAACAAGCAACAAAAATATACTAGAACAACAAAAATCTTGTGGCCTCCTTTGGGAAAGGTTACAAGATAAGTACTTACATAGTCAATGCCATTCACACAATGAGATGCTGCTCCTTCCCCACATCTCTTTTATTTATAATAGATCTTGCTTTAAAGGTACCTGCCCATTTATTGTAGATGACAGACTAATAAAATGAAGTCAGTTTAATAAACGCTGTATCAGAATATCCCATCTTCTAATGTGGCAATGTGAAATTTCACCACTGGAGGAAGCATTTAACATTCTGACTATTTTAATACTTTTAATAAATATTTGCAATTCCTGTGATAAAGCATCCCAGTAGAAAATGCATTTCCTCCAAAATTTATGGGGCCGCTGGCAGGTGGCCATTTTCTAATTTTCTGTCTCACATACATTTATTACAGATTTCTAACAATCCCTTTTTTGCTTTTTGAATGACTATGAGCATGCTGTTTTGTCTGAATAGGAATGTATGTGGTTAAAATTGAGGGTGGTAAACCAGAGCTTTCTGGTTTGCAAATTGGAGGGTTGTTCATATCCTCTTGGTGGCTCCTTCCACGTCTATTTTGTTCAGCTCTGTAATACATTTAAATCAGGTCTTCAGAATCTACATGGGACCAGAGGATCCTTTATTCAGTTCCTCAGTAGTGAAAGGTTGGGAGCAGGCATAGGGACAGGGTTAGGAATAGGTGTCAGGTCATAGAGTTTGACCTGTTAAACTTTGAGCTTACGCATAGAATGCTGCAGAAATTGTAAAATACTTGTTAGAGTAATACAACTTAGAGAGACAGTAATATCCAAGTTAGACATATTTCAAATACAAAGGGAAGAAAGCTACGCAAATTCTATTGGAAATCTTTCTGTAGAACAGAAAAAAATAACTTCTTAAAGTTTGTCATCACCCTTTAATATACATTTCCATCTTTGTTAGACATCTCCGTGTAAAATTAGTGGGTACATCTCAACTCAAACATTGCAAAACAAAGCTCACTCTTTGTGCTACTTCCTATTTCTACCTTCTGACATACTTAAGATCTAATTCCTTATCTGCATGCTGGATTTCACTTAAAGTTATTGTCATTATCCATAGGCAGAACAGAAATCTGAGTCTTTTTCAGGTATTTTATTTCAATGTTATCTCAAGGCCTTCTTGTCCTTCCTACTCAATGTCTCTTTACTCATTTCCTTCCTCAGTTCCCACTGACATTGCCCTAGCTTATTTGTTTATTATCACTGATGGCCACTACTTATTTATGAATCATTTAATCAATGCATTACTTCATTTAAGCTGTCCAACAGTCCTCTAAATCAGGTGATAATATATCCTCACTTTACAGACAAAGAGGGAGGCAGAAAGTCTCAGTGACTTTCCCAGAGTTACTCAGCTAGGAGGCCTTAGTACTGGGATTTGAACTCTGGCACCAAAATGAGGCTGTGAACCGCTAGGCTCTCCCCTTCCAGGCTCCCCACCAGCTATTATAAAACCTTCATAAATGATCTTTCTGATTTCTTTGTCCTGTGTCTCCTATTCCTCTTTATATTTATGCCACAGACTGCTTACAAAACCATGGTTCATACCACAACCTTTAAAACTTCTGGTAGTACCTTCATGCCCATCATTTATTCATTCAGTCATTCATTTATCATTCATTCTGTTATTTCATTTATTCAACACATATTTGTGAATCATACATTATGCACCAGGCAAAATCTAGGCACGGGGGATATGGTAAGATTAAAAAGTCATCCAGAGCTCTTGCCTAGTGAATGATAAGTTAGGAAATAATGATACAACACTATCTTGGCTAGTAGTAAGTACTATGAAGAAAACTAAAGCAGAGTATAGGATAGAGATAGAGAGAGAGAGAGAGGATTTGCTGTTTTAGATGAGATAATTAGGAGAAGCCTCTGCAATAGTTACATTTAAGTATGTGCCCAAGCAACAGGAAGGAGGATGTATTCTAGGCCAACGGGGAAAAGCATTCAAGGAAAAGTGTTAAGCAAGCGCACCGTACTTAAAGCAGGGCTGTGCTCAGCCTGTTCAGGAGCAGCCAGGAGGCCAGGGAGACTGAAGTAGAACAGAGAGCTGAGACAAGAGAATTGAGGGAAGCTGGGGTGCCCTATAAACTAGGGGTAGCCAATCCCTGGGCTCAGGACTGGTACCAGTCCGTGGCCTGTTACAAACCAGGCAGCAGGAGGTGATTGGCTGGACAGCGAGCATTACTGCCTGAGCTCCACCTCCTGTCAGATCAGTGGTGATATTAGATTCTCATAGGCATTAACCCTGTTGTGAACTGTGCATGTGAGGGATCTAGGTTGCACGCTCCTTAGGAGAATCCAATACCTGATGATCTGAGGTGGAACAGTTTCATCCCGAAACTGTCCCCCAACCCCCATTCATGGAAAAATTGTCTTCCATGAAACTGGTCCCTGATTAGAGACTGCTGCTATAGACTATGGTAGTGTCATTGGAATGATATTCCTTTCCCTCTCACTCCTGTATCTATAATTCCAACATCTTCTGAAAAAAGGATGACTTGTCACAATGTGCTGTCTCCAAAATTGGACATGCACCTTACCAGCTCTCTGACTAATCCATTCTGAAGACCCTCTTCACTGACTTCTGAAATCTTCCCATCTTTTAAGGCCTATTTCCAATGCCACAGCCCTAGTTAATTCTCTTATGTCCTACCCTGCTTTAGCTCCCTCCTTAATGAGGAGGGGGAGAAGGAGCAGGAATATCGTGGAAGGCCTCAGGGAGCCGACAGCCTTAAATCAAATCCTAATGTGCGCCTTGCTGGCCAGGTCCTTCAGAGCAAGTGAGGTCACCTTTCCAAGATACAGAGTGGTTTTGCCATTTTAAAAATACATCAGTACAGGAAAAAATCTCATAAGGTTTTTGGAGAAATAAGATTATTTTACATATTGTATAAATCCAATAAATTTCAGATTTAAATTACTTTAAAGGTAATTAGAGTTCTAGGATCTTGGGGCCTTCTTATTTATAACCCTAACAATATGCTCTAGTATTATGCTTCTACCCATGCTTTCCTGGGTTAGACATTAAGCATCTTGAGAACAAGGACCATATCCAGTTTATCATAGTATTTCCACCAGCAGGTGCTAAGAAAATGAGCAAAAATAACTTATTCAAACCAGCAATTTATATATTTCATCTAAAATATTTGTGACACAAATGAGGGGAGGATTTTGTAAAAGCTAAAATTAAGTGGTTTTGTTTTGTTTTTGCAGTGGGGTTGAAATAAAGGGCTTAAAGAAATACAACACACAAAGAATATCTTTATCACCTTAGGGCAGGGAAGAATTTTTGAACAGTATACAACAAGTACCAAACTCTGGGGAAAAAAAAGTGATAAGTTTGATTGCATTAAAATTTAAAATTTTGGTCCGTCAAGTGTGAGTAAAATGACAAGATACAAATTATAAGAAGATATTAATAATATAATGATCAGGAAATAATTTTTTTTTTGAGACTGAGTAGCTATGTCATCAGGCTGGAGTGCAGTGGTGCGATCTCGGCTCACTGCAACCTCTATCTCCTGGGTTCCAACAATTCTCCTGCCTCAGCCTCCTGAGTAGCTGGGATTACAGGCACCCGCCACAATGCCTAGCTAATTGTTGTATTTTTAGTAGAGACGGGGTTTCACCAAGTTGGCCAGGATGGTCTCCATCTCTTGACCTTGTGATCTGCCCGCCTTGGCCTCCCAAAGTGCTGAGATTACAGGCGTGAGACACCGTGCCCAGCCCAGCAAATAATTTTTATACAAAATGTAGAGAAAATGTCTACTAACAGAATGAAAAGAGAACAAAACTACAGAAAAAAAAGGAAAATACAATAAAATAGCAAGTTTACAGGAAGTAGGACACAAATTGGAATAAACAAATGAAAAATGATAATAATTCTTTATAATTTAGGAAATAATGTTACAGACCTTCGTAAGATACATTTTATGCTCATTAGTTTGGAAAAAATTAAGATGTTTGGTAATAACTATTAGTGGTAAGGACACGGACCCTTGAGAATGCATAGACTCTGCTGGTGGAACTAAAACTTGATACAACCATGTTGGAAAATTATTTGATACCAGTATGTGAATTTAAACATTTTCATGCCTGTGGACCAGCAATTCCATGTCCAGTTATGTGAATTAGAGAAAGTCTCACTCTTTAGTCCCAGGAGATATGTACAAGGATGTTCAGGGAAGCATTGATTACTGGAGCAAAAACCTGGGACAAACCCTAATTCCTTCAAGAAGACAATACATTTTATGCCTTTAATTGTGTCCCCTAAAATCCATGTGTTGAAGCCCTGTCACTCAGTGTAACTATATTTGGAGACTGAGGCTTTAAGAAGGAATTAAAATTCAATAAGATCATAAAAGTAGGGCTCTAATCCAACAGGACTGGTTCTTATAAGAAGAGAGAGACACCAGGGGTGTGCCCAGAGGAAAGGCCATGTAAGGACACAACGAGGACAGCTTTCTGAAATCTAGCAAGAAAAAAACCTCACTAGAAACCAACCCTGCCAGAACCTTAATCTTGGACTTCCAGCTTTCAGAACTTTGAGAACATAAATTTCTATTTTTTATGCAACCCAGTCTGCAGTATTTTGTTATGGCAGCTCTAGCAGTCTAATTTGATACATAAATCATTTATGATATATACACAAAATGGAATATTATAAAGCAATGAAAGTGAATAAACAATAGCTGTACCCAGCAAGAATATGAATCCTAAAAACATATTTACTGATCAAATCAAGCCATAAAATACTTTATTCAGTATTATACCATTTTTATAAAGCTTAACGAGAAATAGTTAATATGTAGTATTTTGGTATTATGCACATGTGAACTAAGACTAATTTTTTAAAGTAAGGGAATAATGAACATAAAACTCAGAATAGTGGGAAGATGAGAGTAAGGTGAGGAAGACCTTCATGTAAAAGCAATGGCATTATTAATGTTTTAGTTTTTAAGTCAAATAATGAGTTTACAAATATTCATTTTATATGTTTCAAACTCAATTATAGATAAAAATGACATTGTTTTTAAGTATAAAATGTTATATAAAAGGGAACAATAGCTGGTTTTGGAGAGAAAAAGTGCTTTTTAAATTTCATATGCAATATCTTAATCCATTTGGGCTGTTGTAAGAAAACTCCATAAACTGAGTGGCACAATAAACAAGATCAATTTATTTCTCTCAGTTCTGGAGACCTGTCAGTTCAAGATCAGGTGGCTAGCCGATTGAATGTCTTATGAGGGGCTTCTTTCTTGTTCATTATGGTACCTTCTTGCTATGTCTTCACATAGTGAAAGGGACCAGGGACCTTTCTTAGTCCTCTTTTATAAGGGCACTGATTCCATTCATGAAGGTTGTGCCCTCATGACCTAATCACTGTCCAAAGATTCCACCTTCTAATGCCTTCACTTTAGGGGTTAGGATTTTAACATATATTTTGAGGAGGGAACACAGACATTCAGATCATAGCAACAAATATATGGCCTTCATTTTTTTTACTTGCAGTTAGTTTCTTCTCTTTTTCCTTCACAGCCTTTACCTTCTTCTTCTTTCTATATAACTTGGTTCTTCAGAAACTCTAACATTAGAGAAATAGCCAGCTTCAGTAATTTTTTTGTCATGAAAAATGCCCCACTAGTATAACAGGTAAGTGAGAGTACAATATTCAGAATTGATTCTAGTATAAAATTAATTCTCAGTTACTCATAATATTTAATTTGTATATGCAAAGTATGCCAGTATGCCGAGAAGATAATTGGCTTTTCTCTGAAGTCTCTCTGTCTACATATTAATTTCATCTTCTCTCTCAGACCCACATACTCATTGAAACTCATTGGCATTATCTGTGTGTACTTAGAGGAGTCGCAATATCTATAAGTTTGTCAAACATCATCATATCTGGTCTGTTGGGCAGAATTTGTTTGTGTTATCCCAATTCTATAACCGTACAACATTGAACAACTGCCTTCCTACACTTAATGAATTCTTTTATATTTTACAAGTCACATTCACTGTTGAAGGTTAAATGTTACTGTAAAATAGCTATATTAAAATAGTTATGGCAAAGGCTCTATCAGGTAAGGAGGCAAATTTTCCAATCTCTAATTGGTAATATAAAAATTAAATTCTAAAAATATTAATCAATAGACTATTATATCCCTTGTGCAAATTTGGGGCCACCGCACATATACAGAATAAGCAGAGTATTTTCAAGTAATTTTCAATCTGATGTATACATTGATAGAAAATGGAGATATTGCTGGGATGGGTTGTGATATTTCTTCCCACAAAAACATTGCATTCGGGTGATATTTTATAGCCACTTTTTCTATCCTAAAATCTGAAAGAAAAAAAAGATCTGTCCATCTTAGTACATGGAATGTCTTATGACAAACACTGACTTATTTGAGTTCAATCAGAAAGTTTTGTGTAAGACATTACCCAAAAAGCAGGATGGGCTGTTGAATTATTATTGTATTTAGGGTTTCTCTTCAGGAAATATGTTACATGTGAAACACTATTTTAAAATTAATAATTCAGAGTGACACCCATCGACATCATTACCCCCAGCTTAGAGACTTTGATGATTGAAAAATACATTTGTTTTCACAAACACCAACCCCATATCATTGGCTGGCTGTATCTGAGCAGGAAACACTGAAGAAATGAAGCAATGTTCATATCACCAGAGAGATCATAATAAAAAGGTTTTCTTTTGCAGGTGATTCCAAAGCTTAAGCTGCATTAATTTCTCTTTTAAAATAGAGTTTCCTCCCTTTTCTCATTCAGTGAAGTTCATTTTCCTTCCAATGCTAAATCTGTACATACCGAAGGCACGAATACAAAAGCAGACTTCCTTGTTCCCTAATTATCTTTGGCAGAATTAGTATCATCAAAAGAAAATCCCAGCGAAATCAACTTACATAAGTAGCAGAACAGGAAACAGCATGTCATTTAAAAAGTCATCTGTTGTTGTGGCCCACCCACAGCAGCATGGGGATTGAAGCGAGTACCCTCTGCTGGAGACGTCACCAAGGCATGCTGAGGAGATAGAATCAGATGATTGACACCCGATCTCGTAATTGTCCTAGTGGTTGTGTTACTGTGAGGGAGCCCTTGGTGCTGGAGGAATGATGTGAGTGGCACTTTGCAGTTTGTTGTATCTATGCTCAAAGCACCATGTTCATTCTCAGGTTTACAAATCTCGGCGTTTGGAGTTAGGCCTAAGTTTCTTGGGAACATGCATTAAGTGTCATTGCATGATATTGAGTTAAGTAGCAATTGGAGTTGCTCCTTCTCTGAAAATTGACCAGCACTTTGCAAGTCACATCAGGGCCTTTATGTCCCCTTGTAATGAATTTCCATTTAATTTTTACTTTTGTTGGGTGGACTGGAATCCATAAACATAAGTGGGAGGGCTGCTGGCCATTATGAGAGCTGTAATTCAATTCACAGGAGGCTCTGACAAAATGTACCCTGGCTAGAACTAGATTCTTGCAGCTTACGTTTATCAGAAATTTTCTATTGAATTACAGCCTGGTAATATCTATTTTCTCATGCATTATCCTATCTGTAATGATAACAAAATCATGCTAATCCATTCGTTTTTTTTTTTTTTTTTTTTTTTTTTTTTTTTTTTTTTTTTTTTGGTGACACTGAAGCTGAATAGCCCCTTCAGCCAGTCTCTTACATCAAAGTGCTTCTTTCCTATCGTGCCCCTTAAGAACAAAACTGTATTCCACTCTTTGGCACACTCTAATCTTTCCATTTCTATTACAATACTTCATTAATTTGACTACCTCATTTCTTTGTAGCTTTGAAGAAGGGCAGAAGTGGAAAACACTTGAATTCACAGTAACCTCTGGCAAGGAGGGTCTGTTCTTCCATACATTTCAGCTATTTCCCCCCCCCACCGGCTCACTATCGTGTCTGAGTCCCTGTAAGGAGGAGATATGAATCTGTGCCCTCCCACCTTGGACATCATAAATATCTTTCAGATAATAGATAATTCACCTGATCTTATGCGTTCCTGCGCACTTAAGAGATTCTTAGTGTGAAGAGAAAAATGCATTTTGATTTGAGGCATTCCTAGGTTTTATGGGGGTGGTAAATTATATCCCTATAATGGTGGGGAAACTAAAGACTTCTCCCATTACCAAATGTCAGCTTTATCTCTTTTTTCCTCCTTCTCCAACCTCAAAAGCTTCCCCAATCTGAAAAGCTACTCAACCTGATAAACAGCAATGTTCCCCTGCATGTAATCCCGTGTTTGTGATACTAAACAAATGTGTATAACTAACATGGATTACATGTGCATGTGTAAAGGAAGGGAATTTAGTTACTTTAAATCCCTGAAAGGAAACGTGAACCTCTGTATGAAGTAGCCTATTCCATTTGGGTGTGCTCTAAAGATTTAAAAATGTGTCCTTATATTCAACCTACATCCACTAGGGTCAAATTTACTAGCTTTAATCTTACCGTCTGGAGCTAACCTGTTAGTTGTATCTCTATTTTTAGGACATTTTCTCCAAATTTGATTATTTTTATCTGACTTCTTTTAAGTCTCTTCCGTACAGTTCCTACCAATTTTCCTTCTGTGACATGGATCCTGGATCCTCACAATCCTGATCAACCATTCTCACAGTGCATACCTACTAGGATGGCCTCATCATGGAATACATGTAAATATTGTCTTAGATTAGTTTTCCTCTGAAAGCAACCTGAGTCAAAGACTTGGTGCATATAGTTTATTTGGGAGGTGATCCCAGGAAGCTCAAGTGAAGAAGGGTAAAAAGTGCAAGAAGGGAGAAAAGCCAGTAAAGTATGTGTTAATGAGCTGACTACTGCTGTGGGCAATGGGGCTCCATTACACTGGGGACCCTCTGAGAAACCATGTGGAACACACCTCAGAATCATTCTGCAGGTGCTGGGAGGCCGAGGTGTGTATCCACCCATGCTCATTCCCCAACTAGGAGAAAACTACGACAGGGGCATTAATGCCCAGCATTTCTTCTTTATGCTTTGCTGCAAAATAAGCATAAAGGTGTTGGGAAAAACCCTCTGGCAAAGCAGAGAGATGTAGGCTTTTGAGGTAGAGAGCTGTGAGCTGCTGCAAACTGTCTACTCATGGTCAGGGGAGGTCAGGTGGGCTAAGGAAACGTGGGACAAGAACACCAGGAAGGGCTGCTACAGATGCCAGGCTGGAAAAATAAATGGGAGAATCTGGCCAGGTATAGAGCAGTAGGGAATATTGAACCTGTGGAACTGCCAAATTTAAATCCTACCTGAAGGCATTACAATATTATAATAATAATAATAACAATTTGTAATCCAAGCGAAATACAATGACCAGTTTGTAACCCTTGCAACAGTGAGCAGCAGGAACAGGGCAAATTTGAGTGCATGTCCTGAAGGGGCCATGTCCTGAAGGGGGTTGAAGGGGGCTGAAAGGGGCTCCAGCCAGTGGTTCCCATTCAAGAATGTGGGTTAATGTTAGATCTTTGGGTTTCCTTTTGTGAGAATCCAAAAATCAAGATTTTATGGGAAATATCTTGATTTTTAAACACTCCGAATTTATTTGGGCTCCAGGAAGCACATCTGGGGGTGCCTACCTTCCATTTACAGTCTCCATCCAATATCAACAGCAACAACAGCACAGGGACTGTGGGAATCAGGATCTCAGAAGTATGCTAAGCAGCTCATTTGTGCGTTTCTGGGTAAACTGGTTTTGCTAGCACAAGCTTATTCCATAGAAATCAAGTTTCTGATAGAGCTTTTAAAAAAAAGGATTAAGTACATGCAATCAGAGCAGAAATTGGGTGGTCTCTATGGCTAAATAAACTTCATTTCCATTGAGCCTAACACTCTCTTTGGGGTAGAGTAGGGGGACTACAAAATGAGTGAACAGTTTTTCTCCCTTGTTAATACAAGCCAGGTTAAAGCAGCATTGCTTTGCATCAGGAAAATTTAAGGTAGAGCTTTGATCTTCTTCCTGTTAAAATAAGGTAATGCATTCTCCTGACCTCAAAAAAGTAGTCTTAATTAGGGTCCTTGAATGAAATAATTGACCTTGACATTGCCTTCAGCTCAGGGCACGAAACTGTTATCAAAATGACTTATCAAGAAGTAAGACATGGAGCAATAAGGACTATTTGTTTAATAATTCTACCTTCTAGAATTTTAAGCTACCAGAACCCTTACACTGCAAGGACAAATACTACCTTTGTAGTGGCCAATAGGAGACTACATTGTGTTGAAATGAAATTCATGTTGAGATTATGCATTGGTAAAAAATATAGTCTTTGTTTAAACACTGTATTTTTGATATTTTTGACCTAGTTCATTTGAATCTTAGCAACATTATTTTATTGTGAAATGTTTCTTTAGTGGGTTGCAGCGTATCTTTTTAAGCATCACCACAAAGACTGGAAACAGATAAGTGCAGAAAGAGCACTGGGCTAAAAGTCAAGAGATTTCATTCTTGGCTTTCACTTTGTTGCTATGCAGTGTGGCCTTGGAAAAATATTTTATACAATCATCTTTAAATTTCTTAAAGCTTTGTTGTCTCATAAGGTGAATACAACGATTGCCTTACTTCTTACTTTGACTTTTCTTTGTCCTTTTTTTTTAACGTAGAAATCAAGCTATGATCAGTTCCTCTTACCAAGGCAAACTCTGGGCAAAATGTATAGATGAAAAATATGCCTTAGACCCCAAGACCTATCTCTTATCTGTTTTCCCTTCCATGACCCGCTTCCTCCCTCAGTATCCCTTTCCCATACCCACAGGCCACTTTGTCTCACCAGTAAACTACTGTCTCATCAAACCGGGCTCTCCTTCAAGGTTTCCAGTTAACTATTTACCCCATAGTAAGAAAGAGCTGTCTAGTTACTGTCCCTTGTTGTATTTGCACTTATTTCTGGTTGCAGAGCTCTGATTTCCCTCTCCTGTTATAGAAATGCAAGCAATAAGTACCCAACCAGTAGAAGTCTTAGGGTGTCAGTAAAGAATGGTTTCTACTGTCTCTCCAGGGTGGGAAATGGGGTGTATACAACACAATATAGAAACTTGAGGCTCAATCTTGGTACAGGTTGTAGAGAGAGACTATGGTAAGGCCAGGAAAAGGGCTCAAGTTCTATGCATTTCAGACTATAGACAGTAAGCATTTATTAGATGACTACCTACTGGACAAGGTGCTAGGGGAACAAAAATGAATGTAACCATCCTTCCTCATTAGGAATTCACAGGCTAGTGGAAGAGATGGACAGAAACTGAGATTTAAAAGACAATGCAATGTCTGTACTCTCAGGCCCATGTAGGGCTTGGCACAGGCCAAAAGACCTGATGGTGCTTTTTATCCCTTCCTCAAACATCTATTCACAATAATTTAATCAGATAATGTAATATTTTTCCCCCAAAGCCTTGTCTTCTAATAAATCATCTTTGTTCTCCAATTCTCAACTTCTTATCCTTGATATCAAGTAACTACCATTGTTTTTGTCCTAGCTCTCCCTAGCATATGGTGTTCCTGACATGGTTCTCCCTGCCTCAATAATAAAGATATTTTAAAAAATCCTCTGTGAACCCAGAAGAGAAAGTATTTAATAGAAATAGAAGAGTTTATGGTATTTTTTCCAAGGAGGCATCATTTCTTCTGGTCTTGCAGAGTGAGATGGAGTTTGACAGAAAGAGCGGGGGGAGGCATTTAGGCTGAGGGTTCAATATGCTTAAAAACAGGGAGACCAACTCGGTATGTTTACAGAGGAACAAGAGTTCCATAAGGAAGTCATACCTGTCTGTTTCCTAAGAAAGGATCATTGACACCCAGTCCAAAAGGACAGGATTTATCTCTGTAGGTCCAGAGGCCACACTCCACAATGTATATAGAGAGATCACAAAAATAAATTGCCTTGCAAAACAGAAAGTTTCAGAAGGAACCTTACCGTTGAGCTAATTTGATATCATAGAGTGTAACAGTTATTGGTAGAAGTAACTATATAACTCTCTTGGACCCAAAACCTTTCTGTTCTTGGTCCCAATGCCTCCCTCCCTCCGACACACACACACACACACATCCCTTAACCAATATCTCTCAGCACTCTCCACTCACCACTCACTCCCTCCAAACCAGCTCCTCCTATTCTGCAGGTGGTCCTGGGATTTTTCCTTAACAATAGGTGGGACCCATCTTTCTAATTTTAACTTCTTCCCACCAGGAGGTAGAGATTTATCTTGATAAACTGTTTGGGATTGCTTACAGAATATTAATAAAATGGGAGCGTGCATCCTGCAGCAGTGAAGAGAATACCTGAGAAGTTTGAAAGCTTCCGTGGGAGATTAGAGGCGGCTGTGAGAAAATGTGCTCCCCGGTAGTAAGCTCCCAGTGCAGATCTTTCACTATCCAGGAATCTCTAATTACTAATACAGTACATGAACAGTATGATATGTCCTTACAATTGCAGACACCTTTTCAAAGATAATCTTTAATAGTTTATTTGACAACCTGTAAAATTATAGAAAATTATTAGTCTTGGGAATTACAAAAATCCCTGTAGTATAGTCAAACAATAAAATTATAATTACCTGTGGGTAATTGAAATTTAACTTTTTTTTATTGTATATTACACATCAATAGCAACATAAGTTCAAGAGGTTTTTTTCTTCTTTCCTTTTCTATTGAAGAACCTGAGAAAATGGACAGCACTGTTGGGGGCTTGTGAGTTCCTGTCACAGCACTGAGCTTGAACAATTTCGATTAAAGCCCCATGTTTGAGACTGTCATTAGACCTGCATTAAATTACATATCTGGAGTATTAAAAAATAAAGAGTACAGTAGCTTTTTCTCAGTTACCTAAGGTAGGTGGTTAAGGCCCTGATTATATTTAAAGATCTATTTTTTTCCTCCACTGAAAGTCATTGTTTCTTTCATTAAACATGAAACACATTTAAGAACACTAAAGTGCGCATACAGGAATATTAGGATGGCATATTCCAAAGTACCTTTGTTCTGTATTCATTGCTCTGAGTTGACTTCTGCATTGTGTAACATGATTTTATTATTTGGCTCTCACTTGGGTGAACTGAACAGGATTGGCACTGCTTAGGGCTTCTAATTCTCTGGGCTTAGTTGGTAAGCTGGGTGCTTGCCTTCCTCTTCTTCTTCATTCAACCTCTCATTCCACCATCACCCCAAAAGAAATTAAAATAAAACAAAAACACATAAGCATCTTCAAACCAAAGCCAAGTGCTGGTATTTCACTTCTTTGAGTGTCAGAGAACTCAAAGCACCTCCAAGCTCCACTCCTGTGATTTCCTTTGTTTAAAGGAACCTTCTAGTTCTTCCCAGCTAGAATAGTGGTTGAGCTGCATGGAAAGAAAGTAATAAACTTACACATGAAAAAAAAAAAGTCACTGACAAAAGGATTGGCAAAAAATAATTTTTTTGCAGAAATTATCTTTGTCTTTTGCTGTCCCTCCTCACTCAGTCCGTCCTCCATCTGTCTCAGAGTCATGCCATTTCCTGTCTGTAAACATTGCTGCAAGGACTTTGGAGAACCATGGGCCTCAGGGCAGCCCTTTGAACCCTTTATCCAGAAGTAGCAGCTTCAGGCCAAATGGTTTGACCCAGTTTCATCTCCATGGTTTGGAGAGCAATGAGAATTTAAATCGGTTTTTATTTCATCCAGCACTGTCTGATTTTTGCCTCTTCATCTGGAAAGAAACAGATAGGGCTAAAGTATGTGGAACGTTCAGGAACAACACAAGAAATTCATAAGCTAGTGCCATCCTTTCTTCTGCAAGTGGTCTCAGAGTTCCAGTGTGAGAGAACATGAGGCCTTCATCTTCCATAATCATCACTGGAGAGTTCATGACACATGAGACAGAAGAAAGAGCTGCCTCTTCTTGACCTTTGCCTTAATTACATTAAGTAAACCAAGATAAGAAGGATGGTAGAAAATGAAGTTCAGAAATAGCAGCATTAGCTCATTCCTTCCCACATCCTCCTTCATTAATTTATTCACATATGTATTAGTCTGTTCTCACAGTGCTACTAAAGACTTACCTGCGACTGGGTAATTTATAAAGAAAAGAGGTTTAATTGACTCACAGTTCCACATGGCTGGGGAGGCCTCACAATCATGGTGGAAAGCAAAGGGAAAGCAAGACATGTCTTACATGGTGGCAGGCAAGAGAGAGCTTGTGCAGGGGAACTCCCATTATAAAGCCATCGGATCTCTTGAGACTTATTCACTACCATGAGAACAGTATGGGAGAAACTGACCCCATGATTCAATTATCTCCATCTGGCCCTGCCCTTGACACATAGGGGTTATTACAATTCAAGGTGAGATTTGGGTGGGAACACAGGCAAATCATATCAGCATATATGATGGCAAACCCTGAAATGAACACATGCCTAATTTTTTAACAGAATATAATCAATATTTCTCATCTGCTATGGACTGAATTGTATCCCCCCATCAAATTCAGATGTTGAGTCCTTAACCCCAAGTGTAATTATATTTGGAGATGGGGCCTTCAGTAAGAGGTGATTAGGGTTAGATGCTGTTATGAGTGTGGGGCTCTGATGATGAGATTAGTGCCCTCTTAACAAGAGGTACCAAAAACTTGCTCTACCCCCCACTGCATGTGTGCACAAAGCAGAGGTCATGTGGACACACAACAAGATGGTAGCCAGGAAGAAAGCCCTTACAAGGACTCAGCCATGCTGGCACCCTGATCTTATACTTTCAGCCTTCAGAACTGTGAGATAGTAAATTTCTGTTAGGTTTGTCAAAGATCAGATGGTTGTAGATGTGTGGCGTTATTTCTGAGGCTTCTGTTCGGTTCCATTGGTCTATATATCTGTTTTGGTACAATTACCATGCTGTTTTGATTACTGTAGCCTTGTAGTATAGTTTGAAGTCAGGTAGTGTGATGCCTCCAGCTTTGTTCTTTTTGCTTAGGGTTGTCTTGGCTATATGGGCTCTTATTTGGTTCCATATGAACTTTCAAGTAGTTTTTTCTAATTCTGTGAAGAAAGTCAATGGTAGCTTGATGGGGATAACATTGAATCTATAAACTACTTTGGGCAGCGTGGCCATTTTCATGATATTGATTCTTCCTATCCATGAGCATGGAATGTTTTTCCATTTGTTTGTGTCCTCTCTTATTTCCTTGAGCAGTGGTTTGTAGTTCTCCTTGAAGAAGTACGTCAAATTCCTTGTAAGTTGTATTCCTAGGTATTTTATTCTCCTTGTAGCAGTTGTGAATGGGAGTTCACTCATGATTTTGCTCTCTGTTCATCTATTGTTGGTGTGTAGGATTGCTTGTGATTTTTTGAAAGTTGATTTTGTATCCTGAGACTTTGGTGAATTTGCTTATTGGCGTAAGGAGATTTTGGACTGAGACAATGGGGTTTTCTAAATATACAACCATGTCATCTGCAAACAGAGACAATTTGAGTTCCTCTCTTCCTGTTTGAATACCCTTTATTTCTTTCTCTTGCCTGAGTGCCCTGGCCAGAATTTGCAATACTATGTTGAATAGGAGTGGTGAGAGAGGGCATCCTTGTCTTGTGCCAGTTTTCAAAGGGAATGCTTCCAGTTTGTGTGCATTCAGTGTGATATTGGCTGTGGGCTTGTCATAAATAGCTCTTATCATTTTGAGATACGTTTCATCATTACCTTGTTTATTGAGAGTTTTTAGCATGAAGGGGTGTTGAATTTTATCAAAGGCCTTTTCTGCGTCTATGGAGATAATCGTGTGGTTTTTGTCATTGGTTCTGTTTATGTGATGGATTACATTTATTGATTTGTGCATGTTGAACCAGCCTTGCGTCCCAGGGATGAAGCTGACTTGATCATGGTGGATAAGCTTTTTGATGTGTTGCTGGATTCTGTTTGCCAGTATTTTATTGAGGATTTTTGCATCAATGTTCATCAGTGATATTGGCCTGAAATTTTCTTTTTATTGTTGTGTCTCTGCCCCGTTTTGGTATCAGGATGATGCTGGCCTCATAAAATGAATTAGGGAGGATTCCCTCTTTTTCTGTTGTTTGGAATAGTTTCAGAAGGAATGGTATCAGCTCCTCTTTGTACCTCTGCTAGAATTCTGCTGTGAATCCATCTGGTCCTGGGCCTTTTTTGGTTGGTAGGCTATTAATTACTGCCTTAATTTCAGAACTTGTTGTTGGTCTATTCAGGGATTTGACTTGTTCCTGGTTTAGCCTTGGGAGGGTGTATGTGTCCAGGAATTTATCTGTTTCTTCTAGATTTTCTAGTTTATTTGCATAGAGGTGTCTCTAGTATTCTCTGATGGTAGTTTGTATTTTTGTGGTATCAGTGGTGAAAGGACTCCCCATTTAACAAGTGGTGTTGAGAAAACTGGCTAGCCATATGCAGAAAACTGAAACTGGACCCCTTCCTTACACCTTATATAAAAATTAACTCAAGGTGGATTAAAGACTTAAATGTAAGACCTAAAACCATAAAAACCCTAGAAGAAAACCTAGGCAATACCATTCAGTCCATAGGCATGGGCAAAGACTTCATGACTAAAACACCAAAAGCAATGACACCAAAAGCAATGGCAACAAAAGCCAAAATTGACAAATGGGATCTAATTAAACTAAAGAGCTTCGGCACAGCAAAAGAAACTGTCATCAGAGTAAACAGGCAACCTACAGAATGGGAGAAACTGTTTGCAATCTATCCTTCTGACAGAGGGCTAATATCCAGAATCTACAATAACTTAAACAAATTTACAAGAAAAAAACAAACAACCCCATCAAAAAAATGGGCAAAGGATATGAACAGACACTTCTCAAAAGATGACATTTATGCAGCCAACAAACATATGAAAAAAAGCTCATCATCACTGGTCATTAGAGAAATGCAAATCAAAACCACAACGAGATACCATCTCATGCCATTTAGAATGGCGATCATTAAAAAGTCAGGAAACGACATATGCTGGAGAGGATGTGGAGAAATAGGAATGCTTTTACACTGTTGGTGGGAGTGTAAATTAGTTCAATCATTGTGGAACACAGTGTGGTAATTCCTCAAAGATCTAGAACCAGAAATGCCATTTGACCCAACAATCCCATTACTGAGTATATACCCAAAGGATTATAAATCATTCTACTACAAAGACATATGCACACGTATGTGTATTGCAGCGCTGTTCACTATAGTAAAGCCTTGGAACCAACCCAAATGCCCATCAATGATATACTGGATAAAGAAAATGTGGCACATATACACTGTGGAATACTATGCAGCCATAAAAAAAGATGAGTTCATGTGCTTTGCAGGGACATGGATGAAGCTGGAAACCATCATTCTCAGCAAACTAACACAGGAACAGAGAACCAAACACTGCATGTTCTCACTCATAAGTAGGAGTGGAACAATGAGAACACATGGACACACGGAGGGGAAGATCACACATAGGGGCCTGTCAGGGGTGTGGGGGCTAGGGGAGGGGTAGCATTAGGAGAAATACCTAATGTAGACGATGGGTTGAAGGGTGCAGCAAAACACCATGGCATGTGTATACCTTTGTAACAAACCTGCGTATTCTGCACGTGTATCCCAGAACTTAAAGTATATTAAAAAAAAGAATGAGAAATAAAATATTTGAAAATAAAAATTAAAAAAAATTTTCTGTTATTTAGGTTACCCAGTCTGTAGTATTTTCTTGTGGAAGGCCAGCTGATCAACGTACCATCTGATAGCATAAGTCATATTTTCATCAGTCTTAAAAGCCAGTGTTGAAAAGAAAATATAGATAAAACATTTTTTTGAAGAAAAGCTAGCCTTCTTAAAATTAATTCTGTACAATATTTAATGAAGCCATTTAAAATCAAATGTTATCTTCTAGCCAAAGATGGGTTAGAAAACACATACGCCATCCTGAGCATTAAATTCATGTTGTAAAGTGATAAGAAAGTAACATGTAGATGAAAGTTCAAGATGGATAATGCTCCTCTAAAGTTTGTTAGAAACTTAGTTTAGGGGCTCATGAATTCATGATTTTGTAAAATGTCAGTGTAGTATGATCTTTTAAAATAGGAACTAACTCACATCTGATTTACTTGTTAATCATCTTTCTTTTTCCACTAGAGCATAAGCTCCCTGTGGGTAAGCACTTTGCCATGTCTGTTACTCTCACTCCCATAATCCTCCACTAGTTTCACACTTAAAGCAAAATTCACACATATTCTGGCCCTTGCCTGCTTCTCTGCCTTTGTCCTCCACCACTCTTTTTCTCACTTCCCTCCAGTGAGATCTCTTACCATTCATGAGCATACCAACCCTGCTTTTGTCCTGTTTGCCCTTAAAAAAAAAAATTCAGATCGTTTCTCACCTTCTCAGAGAGGTCTTCCTGATCACTCTTCTATTATAAAGCTCACATCCCAGCAAACCACGCATTCTATTTCTCCTTAGTCTGCTTAACCTTTCCTCATAGTACTTATCACCATCTAGAGAGAAATTTTTAGCACTGATAAACACTCAATAATATTTGCTGAATGGGTAGAATTTTGCTAAGTGAGGAATAACCCAAGGTGGGAATTGAGTATAGAGGTGAATGTGACTCCACGTTACTCACTGTGGTCCCTGGGGCCATTAACAGAACCAGGGTTATCAGGAGGAGTTTGTATAGAGGGGAACAACTAATCATTGATGAATTATTTTGATTTTTATATAGACATTTGTCATTTCTGATTTTTAAAATGGAAACAGGTGATCTATGCAGAGTTAAATATTCTGCATTGGGTCCAACAGTTCAGCATTACATTGGGCAGATAAATGTGGAAACTATCAAATCCATAATAAGGTAAAACCTGGTTTCCACCAATTTAATCTCTATTAAAAGCCTCATAAAGCACATTTTGGTAAAAGGAACTAATATCTATCTCACAGCTATGCCCAGCTTGTAACTCAATTGGCATATGTTTCTTCATATTCCTCTTTTAAAAAGTCAATGGTTTATGAAATTATCCAAATATCTGAATCCCTCCCTAGCCAGAAAATGTCACTAAATGCAAAAGAATTTAAATTGCACACATTCCATAGTCCCTTCAGTCTCTCCTCCACCCCAAAGTGCAAGCTTTAGTTTCAAGGAAGGAAACACATGTAAAACTCAGTCAATTTTGGCCAGGTGGCTCCATAATTTTGACTCAATGCCCTGATTTTAATTCAAGCTGTTTAAAGGTAAGGCTCAAAAATAGCCAAATGCTATTCTTCCCCCTTTGTCGCCACTTCTTCGCCAAGTCCTTTTTCTACTTCTGGAGACTTAAATGTAGACGCCTTTTCCTCAGTGGGGTCTCACTCATTCAAGTCCCCACTCATGGGGTTGTGTGGGAGGAAAAGTAGGGTGTACTTCCAAGGCAGTACTCTAGAAAGGCATCCTTTCCTGAGGAGTCTTCAGAATCTGGTATGTGCTCAAGATGCAAGCCTTGCAGCTATTGATGGCCTGAGGGTCAAGGGTCAAGGGTCAGTTGAGGGCCCAGTGGAGCACTCAGCCTAGACTTTGTCCTTTGTGCAATTCAGCTGGAGGCTCTTTGATTAAATCTTATCTTCCAGGAGGTTTGAAAGATGTCAAAAGCAAGACAAATTTTCTCAGTTTCTGGAAGATTCTCATCTCTTGCTGTCTCTCTTCTTCCAATACTCCTGAGCCATGTGGGAGTCTCTTCAAGGGCTTAGCAATGTGTATCATGCAATATCTCTCCCTCAGTGTCCGTATCCTACAGATAAAGTTAGTTCCTATAAATTCAAGGTTCTCAAAGGATTGGATTTCTCTCAAGTCTGGAAGGGACCTTACCCTGTTCTAAATGTCATATATTTTTTGAGTCTTCCTGACTGAAATCAGAGGCCTTGTTGACGGAGTCTTTTCACATCCCTTCCAGCTTTAGGAGTCCGGGTTTTAGCTCAGTCCCAGATAATTCTTGTAGTGAAAAAGTGAAACTTCTGTTCTAGCTAATTCAGTCTTCGGCACATTTGCTACTGTTTTTTAGAAGCCAGAGGCGATTTACAAGAGAACTTGCAAAGCCATTTTGCCTGAACAAATTCTCCATCTGGTGATTCACTGAACATTATCTCATATTTCTTAAAGGAAGAAACAAGGAATGGACTTAGAAGGCCTCGTGTTGATGTTTACCTGCCAAGAGATCTTCCTCTGCTGACTGCCCAGGTTCATTTGTAAATTTGCATTTAAAAACACTCTTTGGGCATAATTTCCTGCTATCGCTTTGCTTGTAGCATTTTTCAGGTAAATGAAGCTACAAGTTGGGGCCCTGTCCACATGTACATATCAAAATAGCTGAAATTTGTGGGGATTTTGTAAAAAAAAAAAAAAAAAAAAAAAAAAGACTTCCTTTTTTAATTTCATGAGATCGACAAATGAGTTTGAATATTTTTAGTCAGTTGTTCTGTGGTGCCTAAGAACAATGCTGCTTCTAAGGCATTTTATGTTACCTCTTGTTGAAAGCATAATGATATATGGAGAACCTTCTTATGCAAAGGGAAAAATCGGATCTGTAATGGTGGAAAGATGACTGTCATCCCGCAGGGGCTCTGCTATTCTTTCTCCAATAATCTGAATTTCCCAAACCACCTCCTTCCCCGAGACCAGCACTTTGCCTTCTCCTTCTGGTTACTGGGTCACCCTAGGTGGTCTGCTGGGGTCCCCGCAGACTTCACTTTGACTGTGCTGTTCCTCTGCTTCTTTTGATTTCCGAAAGCCAGATGTGCCCTCTCATTTGAGGACTGCTTTTTCCCAAGCGTTGATACCATCACTTCTGGTTCTGCCCTTTTCTCCATGGGGATACTATCTCCCCGTCAAGTTGGTTTGTTTTCTAGCCCGCTTATGGCTTGGAAAAGAGACTGCTCTTGCTCCTGCCCTTCCCCAAATGTTGCTTTCTTAAGGCCACATTCTGGTTCTCATATGGCTGATTTTCTTTGTTTCTACTCTTTAATTTGTAATTCTCTTTCTGTGGCCCTTGCTACTATTTGACTTTGGAACCTGCCTTCTTTTTATCAGCCTCTTCCACTGTTAACTCTATGGACAGGTATCTGGGCCAGGATAATGTAGAAAGAGAGTCAAAAATAAAAGAGAGACTGATTTGGCTAGGAAAGGGTGTGAGGTTCACAGGACAAAAGAAGAGGGAAATCTTGTACACCGTCTAACAAAAGGAAATAGACCAAGACTGAATTGCACTCATTCACTTAGACATGTGTGCATTTGTTCATCAACTCAATGCCTGTCTGGAACAAATATTTTACTTTCTAGTTGTCTCTTTTTACATGATTGCTCACAGTTATTTTTCCTAGATGTGCAGGTATCCTAAACTTACACAGTCATCTTTCAACACAGATATCAAATGTCCCTTGTTTCAACCAGAGACAAGCTATCCAGATACTTGAGTCTTACTCATATTGTCCCTGGCAGAGCACAGAGCACTGATCTAAGGCACAGTATGACAAATGTGAGCCTTTCACTTAGGTAGTCATGTAACATTCATCCATTCGATCATTCATTCAATCAAGCAGTCATTTAACTGATATTTATTGAGCAAGAACCTAATATGGGCCAAGTATTACTCTCAGCTCTCACAAAATAGCAGTGAATAAAATAAAGTTCTTGGTTTTGTGCAACTTACTTATTAGAAAGTAGATTGAGGGGAGACATACATATCTTTTAGGTGTTAATAAATTATATGATGAAAAATTAGGTAGGACAAGTAGAAAGAAATCACTGGGAAGAGAACTTGCCTCAATAGGTAGAGTGGCAGGAAAAGCCCCTAACACTAAGGTGTCATTTTTGTAAATAAAATGTGGGAGTGGCCCATGCAGATATCTAGGAGAGAACCTTAGATAAATAGAACAGGAAATCAAAAACCCTCCAGCAGAAGAGTGCTTGGCATATTCAGAAAACAGCAAAATTTGGAGTCATCTAGTAGGTCCATTTTCTGTGAGCACTCATAGACTTTGCATTTTCCAAAAAATAAATAATACTCACTTCATTGTGATCACTTGTTTAATGATTATCTTTCCCTCCAGGCCACATATTACATGAAGCAGGAAACATGACTGCTTGGTTTACCCGCCGCCCCCCCCCTCCACATTCCAGTGCTTACTCAATATCTGGTGCATCAGAGGTGCACCGTAAATAGTAATCAAATGAGTGAGTGGATGTCTAAATAAACTGCCCTGTAAAATAAGATAATGCACATAAATCTTTTAGTTCAGTGCCAGACATACACTGTACATTGAATGGATTTCAGGGACAGTATGTTGCTGCTGATGTGGATGTTGCTGATGTAACCCAGGATAAAATGCACTTCTTCCTGAAAATGGAGAGACTGCTTGGTATGTGAGTAGGCCTACACAGCAAGAAAGTCACTTTAACTGTTTCTGGCTAAAACAGCTCCATTCAGATTGTGCTCTGTGTAACCCCAACGCTAGCAGTAAATATATCTGCTGTGATGCTAACATATAATAATATCTGAAGGAGGCAGGACTGTTTAACTCTTAATTCACTATATACCCTTCCAGACAAGGAGCATGGTCTTCAGAGAGAAACAATTGAATGGTATAAAATATTATTTTCTAAGTCAGGGTTAGTAAAGGAGAACATAGCTACTTGAAGTAAATTCCACTCGTTTGGTCCAGGTAGAGAATTGACTGATATTGTTTCAGAGATCCAACCCTTACAACTTTGGAGGCTTCACACCAGAGGATCTCCTAATTTTGAAATAAGGGAGGTATATGTATCTCAGAAACTGAAGGAAGTTGATATTGTTATTGAGCCATGGAACATTCTGAGTTTGGCCATAAACAAATCAACTAGTAATGATTCAATCACATATACATGGAATGTTGGAGCTAGTAAGTAAGTACTGTAGAAGTTATTTCACAAAGCTCCCTTGTTTCTTCATTTCGTAGATAAGGGAACCCAGGTGAGGGGGCTGAAAAGTCTCTCCTAGTGGTGCAGCTAGGAGAGGACCTAGATCTTCTGTCTCTGAGGTCAGCATTCCTTTAATTAACCACCATAACACCATATCTAGTCTCCCTATTTCCATTCTTGCCCCTCTATAATTCATTCTATATGCAATATCAAAGTGATCTTTTAAATGTGAAACTGAGATCATTTTTCTATCCCTGATAAATTCTCCAATAATCTCTCATTGCAATTAAAATCCAGATTTCTTATAGTGGCCTACAGTATATCTCCACACAGAATGATGTCCGGCACATAGTAGGCACTAATAAATTTCTTGAACCATATATGAATGGATGAACATTTTCCCCGTTAAGATTATAAAGTTGCAAATCATGATAAATCTGCAGAAATGTCTCGATTTAAATGAAATATTCAATAATATTTCCTCTAACATTAATGTATGTGATGAAATGCAAGCTTGGTGAACGTGGGTTAACTGAATTCAACAGTAGAACCTAAATAATTTATTTTAACCTCCTCCATCTAGTAGATGGCCACTTGATTTCTGTCTGACCCAGCCTCATGGAGAGTGTTTACCAATGATTTTGATGACAGTGTGGAAAGGAAGCTTATAAAATCTGAAAGGCACAAAGCTGGAAAGGATAGTAAATATAACAATCAACATTCAAAATTGTTCTGACGGGCTGGAATTCTGAGCCAATTCCAATAAGATGAAATGTAACAGGGATAAATACAGTGTCCTGCATAAAAGTTCAAATAATTAATTGTATAAATACAGGATGGAGAGGCTTGGCTTGGCAGAAATTCACATATAAAAGATCTGGAGGATTGAGCTGACCACAACTTTAATAGGACCCATCAGTGTGAGGCAGATGCTTTAAAAAATCTCATTCATAGGTTGCAATAGTAGAAGCCCTTTTTCTAAATTGCAGCCAGTAATAATCTTCCTATACTCTGTAGCTCAGACCACATCCGGCATATTTTGTTCAGTCCTGGGTGCCATATTTTAAGGAGGACTCTTAATCCAGAGGAAGAAAACTAAGATGGGGAAAGTTTGAAAATTGAGCCAGAGTTGAAATAATTGAAATCCAAACTCAAACCAGCATTTAAAATTGTGTAAGATATTAGAAAGGCTTCATTTTTGCTGCTCTGAAAGTCAGAACCTGGAACAATGGCTATAATTATGTAGTAAATACACTCTTATTAACAAAAAAATTGTGAATCAATGAATAAATGACAAAAAGGAGGAAGGAAATGTTTATTGCACGTGGGAAAAATACTGTGTGTACCTGGAGTAGTTTGACAATAGAAATAGCCACATAATGAATTGGAATACATAAGCTACTAGCCACTGGAGGTTGTCAAAGCAACATGGGGCAAATGATTAAACCTCAAAAGTTAGATGCATTAAGGCCAGGTGTGGTGGCATGTGCCTATAGTCCCAGCTGCTTAGGAGGCTGAGGAGTTCAAGGATGAGGAGTTCAATCACTTGAGCCCAGGAGTTCAAGGCTATAGTGCACTATTATTGCACCTGTGAATAGCCACTGTACTCCACCTGGGGCAACATAGGGAGACCCCATCTGTTAAAGGAAAAAAAGTTAGACAAACTGAGTGATTACATAGGCTCTGCATCTACAACCTTTAAAGTAAGCATGATGCTCCTTCGTTACCTCACTAACTGTCCAAGATGATCAACCCAAAGGTCTCTTTCAATTCCGCAGTCAACAATTTGCTGCACATAGAATTAATGGCCTTAAAAATAAAACCATTTCCCAAGGAACTTGACTTACTATCCTCAAATAAAAAGTCAGATGTCATTCTGGAGAGTGTAAAAAGAAAAATGAAAATTTTGCCTCCTTTGGCACTGATACAGGAATATTAACAACCTAAGATAAGAAGAATAAAGATGTTAAGGCACTGCTGCAGGCTTCAGTCTTAGAACATCCTCATGATGCATTACTACAGTCTTCTTCAGGAGAGTTGCAGGAATCAAAAACTAGCTGATGAGGGTTAGAAGGATATTCTACCTCTTTTCCATGCACATGCATCCTGCATTGCTTTGTCAAAGCTATCAATGAGAAAAGAGATAGTTTCATTGAGCTACCATGTCTTAGGCAAGTGTTTCTTTTTATTCCTCAGGCTGAGAACAGTGACTAGCACTTAGGAAGTATCAAGTAATTAAAAGAAGGAAGAAAGGAAGGGAAGGAGGGAAGAAGAGAGGGAAGGAGGAAGGGATGGAAGGAAGGAAGAAAGGAGGGAGAAAAGGGAAAGAAAAAGATTTGCTGAAGACAGAATGGACAGTGTATATAAATAAACTGTCACCAATCAAAACTAATTTCTTTTATGAAGACTTGCCAATGCATCCCCTTCTCATCCTAGTCTAAACATGATGAGAGTCAGTCCTCTTATTTTTCCACCTCTCATGGCTTTCCCAGAATAAAAATTTAAGCTAAAAAGGGCAAAGCCCAATTTCTTGACCTGAAATCATCTTTTATTCCTGTTGACTTTAAGAAGAGCCCGCTAGAGTCATGCTAAGCACTACTTGGCCCTGAGAACATTTAAAATATAAAATGACTGTCTTAGTTTTATACTATTGCTGCTACTTGAATTAACCTACGACTGCACTCATAGAGGCATATTATCTCTTTTCTGGACCAATGCTAAAATGAGGTATCATGAAATGTGTTCCTTCTTTTTGAAGAATATAGTAACGTATTTAGCCTGACCCACCTGCTCCTCTCCTTGCCCCACTCCATGTTTCCTGGAATTGCCACAGACAGGGCAGATTCCAAACATAGGTTCTCTATTGCCTGTGCTACAAACAAACAGGTGCATCGAAGGAGATACAGTGATTTTATTCAACTACACTGGAATTCTCAACATATTTCCTTCTCTCCTCAATTTTTCCTCCTATGTCTGGCTTTTCCAGGAAGCTGTCTTATCTTATAATAACCTCTAAATTCCAAAAACACTTAGATCATTGCTTTATGGTTTTATGTACTGCATAGCTTTCCTAGTTAACTCTTGATTTATATATATTGTTTCCCTTATAGACCAAGAGCCAGTACCACACATTGTTCTTGGTGTATTGCTGTGCCTTTGTTTGTTGCTCTCATTCTCTTAATACATACCAAGTGATTTTTTGCTGTGTTGATGCGGTCAGTGATATTTTTCTACCTAAAACTATTTTTAAATAAGTTCAAGATCTCTTTATTCTGAATTGGACGAAGCATAAAAATAGCAGTGCACGTGGACTTTTCCCACAGGAGGAAACAAAATTTTTTAAATGCAAGCGAATCTGAAGAATCTGTTTTAAGGAAAGAAAATGATACATAAGTGATGAAATAGTCAACAACTTTTGTTCAGGTTTCATCTCAAAAGTCATCTCCCAGTCTCTTTCATGCATCAAACGCTAATATTTTTTTTTCTTTCTTTTTTTTTTTTTTTGAGACGGAGTCTTGCTCTGTCACCCAGGCTGGAGTGCAGTGGCACGATCTCGGCTCACTGCAAGCTCCGCCTCCCGGGCTCATGCCATTCTCCTGCCTCAGTCTCCTGAGTAGCTGGGACTACAGGTGCCCGCCACCATGCCCAGCTACATTTTTTTTGTATTTTTAGTAAAGATGGGGTTTCACCATGTAGCCAGGATGGTCACGATCTCCTGACCTCATGATCCGCCCGCCTCGGCCTCCCAAAGTGTTGGGATTACAGGCGTGAGCCACCACACCCGGCCCAAACTCTAATATTTTTATTTACCACGTTATGCTACACAGAATTTGCACGTGCCTGTCTCAAAGCCACTCATGAGTAGAGTTAAGACAGGTCTTATAATTTTCATCTAGGGTGAGAAAATTGGTTCCGAAAGGTTCATGACTTGCTCAGTATCCCATGGTCAGCACTGTCCAGGGCCCTGACACTGACTACAGGCTCTTTGTTCCAAGTCTTAAGAGGATAGTCATAAAATAATGTAAATGACTGTCTAAAGGTTCACATGCTAGTAAGTCAGAAGGTCTACAGTCACATGAGGGGTTTCTCTTCCTAATGGTCTCTTTTAGAGTTAAGATATTCAATCCAATAATGCTTTATTTATTTTGTAATTCTCACTTTTTAAAAGATCTTCAGAGTCTATTTCAGTCTGCTACATATCCCAGGAGGTAGCACATCTTTATGTTCTGAGAGTTGACATAATTGGATGAAAAAGGTGTATACAACAGAAACTCATTCAAGCTTGTTTGCTCTATTTTTAAAAGAAGATATATTACAAAGATACAAGATCTAATTTTTGGATCCACTCTCTAGGTTTGGGGATCCTTAACATTTCTTCTTCACACCAGGTGACAAAATTATTACTTGACATCTTTCCAAATATAACTTTTTAATCCATCTGGAGTCCAATTCTGCAAATGCTGCAACAGAGGACGTTATTTCTAGGACCTTCTACTTCACAACTTGTCCTATATTCATTGATTTGTGTTGCCCTTTTTATAACTTATCAAGTCCCCATATGGGGACTATGAACTATGAGCAATGAATTATGTTCCATAATTATACCTGTCTGTCCCTTTAGGATTACAAAACCATTTTTATTATAATGGCTTTAAATTCTTAATATTTAGTGGGCAAGTCCCCACTTCTGACTGTTCTTTTACAAAGTTGACTTAGTATTTATGGATTCATTGTTTATTCTTACATTTAATTTTATAATATTTGTCAAGTTTCTAAAAAAATCCAGCCAATGTTTTGATAAGGATCATTTTGTAATTATAGGATAATTTGACCAGAATAGCTTTACAAAGCTAGGCTATCTCATCTATTGATGATGCAATGTAGTTTAATTGGTTCTTCATTTATGTCCTTTAATACATTTAAAATTCTCTCCACAGAGATCTTGTATATTTTTGTTAATGTAATATCCAAATAATTTAGAGTTTTCTTTAAATTGTCAATGAATCTTATTATTTAAAATTATATATCTATTTGTTTTTTTACATAGTCAATAAATGCTATCAGGTTTTGGAGAGTAATCATCTTTTGTCAGGCAAACTAGTTTATTGTATTATTACTTTTAATTGTTTGCTTTATTTTGTTTAATTTTCTAGGAACGTTAATAAAGTTTTAGCTTTTCTAATTTTATAACTCATATTTTGTTTATTGCTTTATGGAGACGCTAGAAATCTAGAATATTGTAATAGATACTGGGAACACTTATTCCTAGTCTTCAAGTGAATACGTCTAATTTTTTTTTTTCTGCATATGTTGTCTGTAGGTTTTTATTACTTGCCATTTGTCAAGTTAAGGAAATAGTCCTCCTAGTTTTTTAGAGTTTTTTTTTTCTTTTTAATTATCCATAATTTTCTTTGATAAAATCCTATTATATTTCTCCTTTAATATGTATAAATGAATTGTAAATTTTTTGATATTAAACTATCCTTGAATTCCTTTAATAAAACATTTATATCTTTATATTCATTTTAATCCACTTTTAAATAAAGTTAATTAATACTGTAGTTAGGCATTTATCATCTATGCATGCAAGTCACATGGTACTATCCTTTTTTGTAATGACCATATCTGGTTATTTAATTTAATGTTCTTCTAATCTCCTGAGTGAGTTGTATGGTTTTCCTTTTGGGAAAGCAACTGTTATAAAGTTTTTTGAAAGTCCTCTAGAACAACAAATTAAGTTATTTCAAAGCTGTGAATATCTGTTCATTGAAATACACCACAGAGTAAAGTAATAATCAGTTTAAGGATAAAGAAGATACTGCAAAATAGAACTAGTATCCTGAATACATAAAGAACTCATATACTCAAATTAATGAAAAAGAAATATAAGACCCAGTTGACAAAAAAGAAATGAACATGAGCACACAATTCTCAGAAGAAGAAAAGTAGATGGTAACAGAAAAAGGAAAAGATGTTCAAATTCATTAGTAATAAGTGAAAGTCAAACTAAGAATGAGATGTTACTTTATAGCCATGAGATTTATAGAAATTAGAGCTGTGTAATGCCAAATTTTAGTACAGTTGGAGATAAGGTCTCTTACGCTTTTATTATTAATAGGTGTAAAGCTGTTGTATTCTCCTGGAGAGCCATCTAGCAGAACTTTGTCATATTCATAAACCTCATGCTTCATCAATGCAATACAGTGAACTTCCATAATGGGACACGCTCTGGGCTGTTTACTGTAAAATTTATGTTTAGTAGCAGAAAATGGAAGACTTCCTAGTTACACACTGAGGAAGCACCTATAAAAAATGTAGTACATTGGCTGGTCACGGTGGCTCATGCCTGTAATCCCAGTACTTTGGGAGGCCGAGGCAGGCAGATCACCTGAGGTCAGGAGTTCAAGACCAGCCTGGCCAACATGGTGAAACCCCATCTCTACTAAAAATACAAAAATTAGCAACATGTGGTGGTGCATGCCTGTAATCCCCACTACTTGGGAGGCTGAGGCAGGAGAATCACTTGAACCTGGGAGGCGGAGGTTACAGTGAGCCGAGATTGCACCACTGCACTCCAGCCTAAATGACAGAGTGAGACTCCATCTCAAAAAAAAGAAAAAAGAAAAAGTAGTACATTCACATTAGGGAATGTAACTATGCAGCAGTTAGAAGTAACAAGTGGATAGATACACACAGCAACATGAATATATCTTAAAATCACAGAAATAAAAAAATACAATTAAAACTATAGCACAGTGTCACTCACATAAACAAAAATCCATATACAGATAAATACCATGTATTTTACAATGTTAAATTCCATTTCAATCTTATGTATTAAATATATTGGAGTAGTTGTTATGGAAGTTGGAAGAATGAGAGTGGAGACTAAAAATAGAAGTGTATATATATATATATATATATATATATATATATATATATATATATATATATATATCTTATTTACATTCTTACTTCTGTTTATACGTAAGGTCATAAAACAGAGGGGTCTTTCATAAGCCAGTAAGAGAATACAATGAACTGAGAAATATGAATAAGAAAAGCTTCTGTACCTGAGATAAAACAAAGTAAAAGCTACAAAGGTGTCTCTTAGAACCCAAGGGACTTCAGGAAACAGGAAATGGAAAGAGTAAAAAAAATCCAGGGAGAGCTTTTCCTCCACCTATATCTCTCCTTTCTCTGTGTGCATGTGCTTTTCTATTCTCTCTCAGCAGACCCACTTTTTGTTGTCGTTGTTGTTTTTTCAGTGCACATGGTAAGAATTCAATTTTGTGTATCTTCTGCAGATTTGCATCCCCTTCTTTCAAAAGACCATCCCAGACTGATATTTGGCGGTGGGGGGGGGGGGAATGTAATTCACAATTAAAACAGATGAATATGGTAAGTAATACATTTTAGTTATTATAAAACAGCATAGGCTTGGCGCGGTGGCTCACACCTGTAATCCCAGCACTTAGGGAGCCCAAGGTGGGTGGATCACTAGAGGTCAGGAGTTTAAGACCAGCCTGGCCAACATGGTGAAAACCTGTCTCTACTAAAAATACAAAAATTAGCCAGGTGTGGTGGCACATGCCTGTAATCCCACCTACTTGGGAGGCAGAGGAAGGAGAATCACTTGAACCCAGGAGGCAGATGTTGCAGTGAGCCGAGATCGCGCCATTGCACTCCAGCCTGGGCAACAGAGCAACACTCCATCTAAAAAAAAAAAACAGTACAATGTAATAAGACTATTTGTCTTTTATGACAAGTAAATTGTCTCTAGGACAGCTTAAAAAGAGAAATTCCAGTTATCAATTTATTCAAATATATGCATAAGCTCCTGGTGGAACATTTTGAAAACCACATTTGCTTAATTGTAAAAATTCTGGACTTCTTTCTTTCTCTTCTTTATGACTTTCTTTTTTTATTTTTCCCTTCTTCCTTTTGTTCTCCTTTTTTCTCTTTCTTTTTATCCTCCTTGTCTTCCTCCCACATCTCTCCTCATCCATAATTTTAATGCAAAATAGTTCCAAAAAAAGGTGGCCAATTGGCTCACAGCTCACCAATTAACTTTTAGAGAAAAAGAGTTAATTTTTTTTGTTTTTAGTAACATGACATTGTATTTTCATTGTTTTCATGAAGCTGTTACTTAGACTTTCGTTTCAACGCAGCACTATACCAAGTGGTATAGATATGGTTCTACCCTCCAAAAGCTTGTAACATATCCCAAAACCTACAACTCCCAGTCTCAGTTAACCAAAGAAAACCAATAGAATATTTCTATACCGGTATTTCTCAATCCCCTGATTTGAAGTAAAAGTTTTGAGCTAAGCATGACATTCAAGAAAATATATGGGCAACAAGGTTGCCATGGTGTTTATCACTTCCCCACCATTTCAATGATGAAAATAAATACAGACACCAGAGTTCAAAACATGATGCTTCTTATCTGTTGCATTAATCTTAATTCATTGAGTACTTCAAGGGAGGAAGGCTTGTGGTGTGTGAAGATAATAGAGACATATCATGAGCACTTTAAAATTCAGGAAGCCATTCACAAACACCCACCATATAATTAAGCTGTTTATTTTTATTTTCAGCCTATTAGAATGGGTAGAGTATTTTCACTTTAGCACCACGATGTCAGTGGGACCACAGGGTAGGGTGAAAGCGTTTTTACCGCCACCAGCATAGTGTCTGAAAAGGATTTACTTTGTTGCCCACTCTTCATTCATGAAATTAAATAAATGATTATTTACATGTTTGTTTTCACAAAGATAATGAATTGTTCGCTGGCTACCAACATATCCCTCTGCCTCCATTCTCTTAGTGAGTATTTTAAAAGTTAGGTTTTGTTTTCTGGGAATGGTGTTATTAAATCACAGGAAAAGTTCCTCTTCAAGAGCTTGTTGGGTAGTTGTAAAGACAGCCCTAGGGCTCTCTGTGAGCTCCAGAAAAGAAATGTTGAGAGGTTTCACAGCTAGTTACTTTTTCTCCCTTAAAATATACCTTTGTTTTAAAAACTAATTTTGTTTAGTTATGTATGTAGGCATTTGCTCTGAAGGAGATCCTGTCATGTTGATAATCCATTCAAATGTCTTCCACTTTATCTGTTGGTTCAAGGTATAGCCTACTGATATAAAATAAAAATCCTAATTTTCCCTCTCTGAATATTCAAAGCAAAATCACTTCCTAGTGAAAGGGTTCTTAGGATCAACTCTATCAGAAGCCACTCTTCAATGGTGATAAAGTATAATTCTCATATTCAGGGCACCCACCTTTCATATCTATCGCCATCTCTCCCACCCCTTGATTAAACTCTCTCTTCCCAGCAAGCAGATAGCCCTCCTTCAGGTCAAGTTGATTCTTGCTTCTGACCTTTCATTCTTTGCTATACCATTCTTATCTAATACATTTCTCAAACAAATTCCATTTTCACTTAAAAAAGAAGCGAACAAACAAACAAACAAACCAGTCTTCCCTGATTACTCTTGCCAAACTCTGCTTTCATGGGGGAGGGGAGGGTCAAGCCATTTACCTAATTCTTGGTCTTGTTCTCTGGTTGTTTTCTTTGTGAGCACAATCTGTATTCTAATAAGGGCAGGGAATCTGTTGGGTGTGACTGCACCAATTTTACTTTTCCACTGGCAGTGTATGAGGCTTCTAACTTCTTTACATCCTTACCAGCATTTGTTGTTATCTGGCTTTTGATTCTAGCTATCCTAATTAGTGTGCGGTAGAATCTCATGTGGTTTTGAGTTGCTTTCTCTAATAACTAATGATGTTGAGCATCTTTTCAGATGCTTACTGGCCATTTGCATATATTTCTTGGATAAATTTCTATTCCGATCCTTTGCCCATTCTTTAATTAGGTTATGTGTTCATTTATTATTTTATTATAAAAGTTTTTGTTTTAATAAATTCTGGATACAAGCCCTTCATCAGATACATGATTTGTAAATGTTCTGTCCCATTCTGTGGGTGTCACTTTTTTAATGGTCTTTTGGTGCACAATTTTTTTTTAATGAAGTCCAATTTACATATATTTCTTCTTTTGTTGCTTGTGTTTTTGGTGTCTTTTCTAATATTCCTTTGCCTCACAAGAGTCCTTGGGGAGTGTGGCCAGAGGCACTGGGAAGAGGCCACAGGGAGAAGGAAACCTCCAGCTGAGCTTTATAACAATTTGAATCTATCAAGAAGTCTCCTGGCCAGAACTCAGGGGAGGGCATAAATCCAATGTGCAGACTCCACAGGTTGGGGGAAGAGTGAAAGCCCTGCTTACTTTTGCAGCTGGGGGTGGGTAGCCTGTGGCAAGTTTTCAGCCCTGCTCACCCGCTGCCTGGAAACAGACTCAGTGCTGTTGCGGGGGCATGGTGGAAGTGAAACGGCCCTTTGGGTTGCATGGGAGCTGGGTGAGGCCTGTGACTGCCGACTTTGCTTCACTTCCCTGACAACCTGCATGACACAAGATGCAGCCACAATCCTCATAGGAACATAATTTTGTTGACCTGGGAACCTCACTCCCATCCCCCACATAGCAGCTGCAACAAGACCTACCCACCGAGAGTCTGAGCTCAGGCAGGCCCAGCCCTGCCCCTACCTAATGGTCCTTCTCTACCCACCCTGTAAACGAAGACAAAGGGCATATACTCTTGGGATTCTAGGGCCCCGCCCACCGCCTATTCCTTCCCATACGACCACAACTGATGCTCTCTGGAAAGTATCACCTCCTGGCAGGAAGCCTACTAGCACAAAAATAGTGCATGAAACAACCAACATCCCCCTGCCACCTCCACTGGAGCAGGTGCTGCTATCCACAGCTGAGAGACCTGCAGATGGTTCGCACCACAGGACTCTGTGCAGACAACCCCCAGTACCAGCCTGGAGCCTGGTAAATTTGCTGGGTGGCTAGATCCAGAAGAGAGATAACAACCACTACAGCTTGGCTCTCAGGAAGCCACATACGTAGGAAAAGGGAGAGAATACTACATCAAGGGAGCATGCTGTGGAACGAAAGAATCAGAACAACAGCCTTGAGCTCTACTACCCAAATGAGAGAGAACCAGAAAACAAACTCTGGTAATATGACAAAACGAGGTTCTTTAACACACTCAGAAAATCACACTAGCTCACCTGCAATGGATTCAAACCAAGAAAAAAATCCCTGATTTACCTGAAAAAGAATTCAGAAGGTTAGTTATTAAGCTAACCAGGGAGGCACAAGAGAGAGGTAAAGCCCAAATTAAGGAAATAAAAAAAAATGACACAAAAAGTGAAGCAAAAACTTTTCAATGAGAGCATAAATAAAGACAATGAAAACTTCAGGAAACAATGGATGCACTTATATAAATGCAAAATGCTCTGGAAAGTCTCAGCAATAGAATTGAACAGCCAAAAGAAAGAACATCAGAGCTTGAAGATAAGGTTTTAGAATTAACCCAATTCAACAAAGACAAAGAAAAAAGAATAAGAAAATACAAACAAAGCCTCCAAGATGTCTGGGCTTTGTTAAATGACCAAACCTAAGAAAAATTGGCATTGCTGAGGAAGAGGAGAAATCTAAAAGTTTGAAAAACATATTTGGGGGATAATTGAGGAAAAGTTCCCCAGCCTTTCTAGAGACCTAGACATCAAAATACAAGAAGCTCAAAGAACACCTGGGAAATTTATCACAAAAAGATCATCACCTAGTCACATTGTTATCAAGTTAGCTAAAGTTAAGATTAAGGGAAGAATTTTAAGCGCTGTGAGGCAAAAGCACCAGGTAATCTATATGTATATCATTATCTATATCTATATATCTATATCTATATCTATATCTATGTCTATATCTAAAACCTATTAGATAACAGCAGATTTCTCAGCAGAAACCCTACAAGCTAGGAGGGTCTGGGCTCTATCTTCAGCCTCATTAAACAAAAACAATTATCAACCACAATTTTGTAACCAGCAAAACTAAGCTTCATAAATGAAGGAAAGAGACAGTCTTTTTCAGAAAAACAAATGTTGAGAGAATTCATCACCCCCAAACTACAAGAACTGCTCAAAGGACTGTTAAAAGGAGCCCTAAATCTTAAAAGAAGTCCTGGAAATACATCAAAACAGAACCTTTTTAAATCATGAATCTCACAGGAACTATAAAACAAAAATACAATTTAAAAAAAGCAGAAAACAAAAAACCAAGGTATACAGGCAACAAACAGCACAATGAATGGAATGGTACCTCACATCTCAGTACTATTGTTGAATATAAATGGCATAAATGCTCCACTTAAAAGATACAGAATTGCAGAATGGATAAGAATTCACCAACCAACTATCTGCTGCCTTCAAGAGACTCACCAAACACATAAGGACTCACACAAATTTAAGGTAAATGGGTGGAAAAAGACATTTCATGCAAATGGACACCAAAACCAAGTAGAGGTAGCTATTCTTATATTAGACAAAACAAACTTTAAAGCAACAGCAGTTAAAAAATACAAAGAGGAAAGTTATATAATGATAAAAGACCTTGTCCAACAGGAAAATACCACAATCCTAAACATATATGCACCTAACACTGGAGCTCCCAAATTTATAAAACAATTACTAATAGATCTAAGAAATGAGATAGAGAGCAACATAATAATAGTGGGGAACTTCAATACTTCACTAGCGGTACTAGACAGGTCATCAACACAGAAAGTCAACAAAGAAACAATAAATGTATGTTATATGCTGGAACAAATGAACTTAACAGACATTTACAGAACATTCTACCCAACAACTACAGAATATACCTTTTATTCAACAGCACATGGAACTTTCTACAAGCTAGACCATATGATAGACCACAAAACAAGCCTCAATAAACTTAAGAAAATTTAAATAATATTAAGCACTCTCTCAGACCACAGTGGAATAAAACTGGAAATCAGTACCAAAAGGAACCCTCAAAATTATGCAAATACAGGAAAAATAAAGAACCTGCTCCTGAATGATTATTGGGTCAAAAACGAAATCAAAATGGAAATTAAAAAATTATTCGAACTGAATGACAATATTGAGAAACAAATGAACAAAACAAACAAACAAAAAACCTCTGGGATACGGCAATGGTGGTGCTAAGAGGAAAGTTCATAGCCCTAAATGCCCACATCAAAAAGTCTGAAAGAGCATAAACAGACAATCTAAGGTCACACCCCAAGGAACTAGAGAAACAAGAACAAACCAAACCCAAAACCAGCAGAAGAAAGAAAATTACCAAGATTAGAGCAGAATTAATGCAACTGAAACAAAATAAACAATCAAAAGATAAACAAAACAAAAAGCTGGTTCTTTGAAAAGATAAATAAAATTGATAGACCATTAGCAACATTAACCAGCAAAAGAAGAGAGACAATACAAATAAGCTCAGTAAGAAACAATATGGGAGATATTACAACTGACACCATAGAAATACAAAAGATCATTCAAGGCTACTATGAACACCTGTATGCCTGTAAACTAGAAAATCTAGAAGAGATGGATAAATTCCCAGAAAGATTCAACCCTCCAAGCTTAAACCAGGAAGAGTTAGATACATTGAACAGACCAATAAGAAGCAACAAGATTTAAATGGTAATTTAAAAATTAACAAACAAACAACAAAAGTGCAGGACCTGACAGATTCACAGCAGAACTCTACCAGACATTCAAAAAAGAATTGGTACCAATCCTATTGACACTATTCCACAAGATAGAGAAAAAAAGAGAATAGTTTCATTCTATGAGGCCAGTATCAACCTAATACCAAAACCAGGAAAAGACATAACTAAAAAAAGAAAACTACAAACCAATATCCCTAATGAACATAGATGCACAAATCATTAATAAAACACTAGCTAACCAAATCCAACAATATCGAAAAGATAATCCACCATGATCAGGTGGGTTTCATACCAAGGAGGCAGGAATGTTTTAACATATGCAAGTCAATAAATATGATACACCACATAAACAGAATTAAAAACAAAAATTACGTGATCATCTCAATAGATGGAGAAAAAGCATTTCACAAAATCCAGCATTGCTTTATGACTAAAACTCAGCAATATTGGCATACAAGGGACACACCTCAATGTAATAAAAGCCATCTATGACAAACCCACGGCCAACATAATACTGAATGAGGAAAAGTTGAAAGCATTCCCTCTGAGAACTGGAACAAGACAAGGATACCCACTCTCACCACTCCTCTTCAACATAATACTGGAAGTTCTAGCCAGTGCAAGCATACAAGAGAAAGAAATAAAGGGCATCCATATAGGTAAAGGGGAAGTCAAACTGTTGCTCTTTGGTGATGATATGATTGTTTACCTAGAAAACCCTAAAGACTCCTCCAGAAAGCTCCTAGAACTGATAAAAGAATTCAGCAAATTTTCTGGATACAAAATTAATGTACACAAATCAGTAGCTCTTCTATACACCAATGGCAACCAAGCTAAGAATCACATAAAAAACTCAACCTTTTTTCCAATAGCTGTAAAAAAATAAAATACTTCAGAATATACCTAACCAAGGAAGTGAAATACATCCAGAAGAAAAACTGCAAAATACTACAGAAAGAAATCGTAGACAACACAAACAAATGGAAACAAATCCCATGCTCATGGAAGGGTAGAATCAATATTGTGAAAATGACCATACTGCCAAAAGCCACCTACCAAATCAATGCAATTCCCATTGAAATATCACCATCATTCTTCACAGAAATAAAAATCTGAAATTCATATGAAACAAAAAAAGAGCCTGCATAGCCAAAGCAAGACTAAGCAAGAAGAACAAATCTGGAGGCATCATATTACCTGATTTCAAACTATACTATAAGGCTATAGTCACCAAAACAGCATGATACTGGTATAAAAATAGGCACATAGACCAATGGAACAGAATAGGGAACCCAGAAATAGACCCAAATACTTCCAGCAAACTGATATTTGACATGACAAACAAAAACCTAAAGTGGGGAAAGGACACCCTATTCAACAAATGGTGCTAGGATAACTGGCTAGCCACATGTAGGAGAATGAAACTGTATCCTTATGTCTGACATTATACAAAAATCAACTCAAGATGGATTAAGGACTTAAATCTAAGACCTGAAACTATAAAATTCCAGAAGATAACATTGGAAAAGCCCTTCCAGACATTGGCTTAGGCAAGGATTTCATGACAACAAACTCAAAGGCAAATGCAATAAAAACAAAGGCAAATTGCTGGGACTTATTTAAACTAAAGATTTTTTGCACGGCAAAAGGAGCAGTCAGCAGAGTAAACAGGGAACCCACAGAGTGGGACAAAATCTTCACGATCTATACAGCTGACTAAAGTTTAGTATCCAGAATCTACAACACACTCAAACAACTTATCAAGAAGAAAACAAACAATCTTACCAAAAAGTGGGCTAAGGAAATGAATTCTCAGTTCTCAAAAGAAAATACACAAAATGGCCAACAAACATATGAAAAAATGCTCAACATCACAAATGATCAGCGGAATCCAAATAAAAACCACAGTGAAATACCACCTTGCTCCTTCAAGAATGGACATTATAAAAAAAAATAGTAAGAGGAGTTGGCATGGATGCGGTGACAGGGAACACTTCCACACTGTTGGTGGGAATGTAAACTACTATGGAAAAAAGTGTGGTGATTCCTTAATGACCTGAAAGTAGAACTACCATTTGATCCAGCTATCCCACTATTGGGTATCTACCCAGAGGAAAATAAGTTGTTATACAAAATGATACTTGCACATACATATTTATAGCAGCACAATTAGCAATAGTAAAGATGTGGAACCAACCCAAATGCCCATCAATCAACGAGTGGATAAAGAAACTATGGTATGTGTATATGATGAAATACTAGTCAGCCATAAAAATGAATGAATTAATGGCCTTTGCAGCAACTTGGATGAGACTGGAATCATAATCACTATTATTCTAAGTGAAGTAGCTCAGGAATGGAAAACCAAACATCGTATGTTGTCACTCATAAGTGGGAGCTAAGCTATGAGGATGCAAAGGCATAAGAATGAAATGAAACAGTATATATATGAACTTTTTTACAAATACCATATATATGAACTATATGTATAACATTTTCTTTATCCAATCATCTGTTAATAAACATTTATGTTGATTCCATGCCTTGGCTATTTTGCATAGTGCTGCAACATGGGGGTGCAGCCATCTCTGACAAACTGATTTCAAATATGTTGGGTAGATATCCAGAAGTTGTTTTACTGGATCATGTGATGGTACAATTTTTAGTTTTTTGAAGAACTTCCATAGAGTTTTCCATAATGGCTCTACTAATTTACATTGATACTAGCAGTATACGAGTGTTCCCTTTTTTTTTGTACATTTTTGCCAATAATTATCTTTTGTCTTTTGATAATAGCCATTCTGAAGGTGTGAGATGATATTTCATTGCGGTTTTCATTTACATTTCTCTAATGATTAGCAACATTGAGCATATATATATATATATATATATATATATATATATATATATAAAATATATACATTTAATGTCTATTCAGATCCCTTGTCCATTTTTAAAATCTTTTGTTTCTTTTCTTGCTAGTGAGCTGTTTGAGCTTCTTATATATTTTAGATATTTATCTCTTATCAAATGTGTATGATTTGCAGATGTTTTCTTCCAATCTGACAGTGGTTTCTGTATCGTTTTCATGGTTTCCTTTGCTGTGCAGAAGACATCCCATTTGTCTATTTTTGCTTTTGCTGCTTGCACTTTTGGGGTAAAAGCAATCAATTCCCAGACAAATGTCATGTAGTTTTTCTCCTGTGTTTTCTGCTACTAGTTTTGCAGTTTCTGGTTTTACATTTAAGTGTTTAATTCATTTTGAGTTGATTTTTTAAATTTATTTTTAATTTTTTTAGTATTTTTATTACCATAAGTTTTTGGGGAACAGATGGTGTTTTGTTACATGAGTAAGTTCTTTAGCAGCAATTTGTAAGATTTTGGTGCACCCATCATCCAAGCAGTATATACTGCACCCTACTTGTAGTCTTTTATCCCTCAACCCCTTTCTACCCTTTTCCCCTGAGTCCCCAAAGTTCACTGTGTCATTCTTATGCCTTTGCATCCTCACAGCTTAGCTCCCACTTATGAGTGACAACATGAGATGTTTATTTTTCCATTCCTGAGTTACTTCACTTGGAATAATAGTCTCCAATCTTATCCAGGTCACTGCAAATGCCATAAATTAATTATTTTTTATGGCTGAGTACTATTCCATCGTGTGGATATATATATATATATATATATATATATATATATATATATATATATATATGTATGTATGTATATAAAATAATCAGTTGCTTTATACACTCATTGATGGATGGGCATTTGGGTTGGTTCCACATTTTTGCAATTGTGAATTGTGCTGTTATAAATATGTATGTGCAAGTATCCTTTGTATAATGATTTACTTTCCTCTGTGTAGATACCCAGTAGTGGGACTGCTGGATCAAATGGTAGTTCTACTTTTAGTTCATTAAGGAACCTCCACACTTTTTTCCATAGTGGTTATACTAGTTTGCATTCCCACCAGCAGTGTGGAAGTGTTCACTGTTCACCACATCCACACCAACATCGACTATTTTTTGATTATGGCCATTTTTGCAGGAGTAAGGTGGTATTGCATTGTGGTTTTGATTCCCATATCCCTGAACATTAGTGATATTTAGCATTTTTTTCATGTTTGTTGGCCATTTGTATATCTTCTTTTGAGAATTGTCTATTTATTTTCCTAGCCCAATTTTTGATCGGTTTGTTGTTTTCTTGTTGATTTGTTTGAGTTCATTGTAGATTCTGGATTTTAGTCATTTGTCAGATGTATAGATAGTGAAGATTTTGTCCCACTCTGTGGGTTCTCTGTTTACTCTGCTGACTGTTCCTTTTGCCGTGCAGAAGCTCTTTAGTTTGAATAAGTCCCGGTAATTTATCTTTGTTTTTATTGCATTTTCTTTGGTTATTCATCATGAAATCCTTGCCTAAGCCAATGTCTACAAGGGTTTCTTTCAATGTTATCTTTCAGAATTTTTGTAGTTTCAGGTCTTAGATTTAAGTCCTTAATCCAACTCGAGTTGATTTTTGTATAATGTCATACATGAGGATCCAGTTTTATTCTCCTACATGTGGCTAGCCAATTTTCCTAGCACTTTAGGTTTTTGTTTGCCTGGTCAATGATCAGTTTGCTGTAGGCATTTGGGTTTATTTCTGGGTTCTCTATTCTGTTCCATTGGTCTATGTGTCTATTTTTATACCAGTATCATGCTGTTTTGGTGACTATAGCCTTATAGTTTGATATCAGGTAATGTGATACCTCCAGATTTGTTCTCCTTGCTTATTTTTGCTTTGGCTATGCAGGCTCTTTTTTGGTTTCATATGAACTTTAGAAATTTTTTTATTTCTGTGAAGAATGATGGTGATATTTCAATGGGAATTGCATTGATTTGGTAGGTGGCTTTTGGCAGTATGGTCATTTTCACAACATTGATCCTACCCTTCCATGAGCATGGGATTTGTTTCCACTTGTTTGTGTTGTCTATGATATCTTTCCGCAGTGTTTTACAGTTTTTCTTGTAGAGGTCTTTAACCTTCTTGGTTAGGTGGATTCCAAAGTGCTTATTTATTTATTTCTTTTTGCAGTTATTGGAAAAAAGGTTGAGTTTTTTATGCGATTCTCAGCTTGGTTGCTGTTGGCGTATAGAAGAGCTACTGATTTGTGTACATTAATTTTGTATCCAGAAAATTTGCTGAATTCTTTTATCAGTTCTAGGAGCTTTCTGGAGGAGTCTTTAGGGTTTTCTAGGTAAACAATCATATCATCACCAAAGAGCAACAGTTTGACTTCCCCTTTACCTATATGGATGCCCTTTATTTCTTTCTCTTGTATGATTGCTCTGGCTAGAACTTCCAGTACTATGTTGAAGAGGAGTGGTGAGAATGGAAATCCTTGTCTTGTTCCAGTTCTCAGAGGGAATGCTTTCAACTTTCCCCCATTCAGTATTATGTTGGCTGTGGGTTTGTCATAGATGGCTCTTATGATATTGAGGTATATCCCTCTATACTGATATTGCCGAGAGTTTTAATTATAAAGGGAGGCTGGATTTTGTCAAATGCTTTTTCTTCATTTGGGATAATTATGTGATTTTTATTTTTAATTCTGTTTATTTGGTGTATCACATTTGTTGACTTGCATATGTTAAACCATCCCTGCATCCTTGGTATGGAACTCACTTGATCATGGTGGATTATCTTTTTGATATGTTGTTGGATTCGGTTAGCTAGTATTTTGCTAAGGATTTTTCATCTGTGTTCATCAGGGATATTGGTCTGTAGTTTTCTTTTTTCGTTATGTCTTTTCCTGGATTCGGTATTTGGGTGTTACTGGCTTCTTAGAATGATTTAGGGAGGGTTCCCTCTTCCTCTGTCTTGTGTAATAGTGTCAATAGGATTGGTACCAATTCTTTTTTGAATGTCTGGTAGAATTCTGCTGTGAATACATCTGGTCCTAGGCTTTTTTGTTGTTGGTAATTTTTTAATTACCATTTCAATCTCGTGGCTTGTTATTGGCCTTTTCAGGGTATCTAATTCTTCCTGATTTAAGCTCAGAGGGTTGTATCTTTCCAGGAATTTATCCATCTCTTCTAGGTTTTCTAGTTTATGCACATAAAGGTGTTATAGTACCCTTGAATGATCTTTTGTATTTCTATGGTGTCAGTTGTAATATCTCCCATTTTGTTTCTTACTGAGCTTATTTGTATTGTCTTTCTTCTTTTGCTGGTTAATGTTGCTAATGGTCTATCAATTTTCTTTTCTTTTCAAAGAACCAGCTTTTTGTTTTATTTATCTTTTATATTGTTTATTTTGTTTCAGTGTCATTAATTCTGCTCTGATCTTGGTATTTTCTTTCTTCTGCTGGGTTTGGGTTTGGTTTTTTATTGTTTCTCTGGTTCCTTGAGGTATGACCTTAGATTGTCTGTTTGTGCTCTTTCAGACTTTTTGATGTAGGCATTTAGGGCTACAAACTTTCCTCTTAGCACTGTCTTTGCTGTATGCCAAAGGTTTTGATATGTTTTTTGTCACTATTGTCGTGTAGTTTGAATAATTTTTTAATTTCCATTTTGATTTCATTTTTGACCTAGTGATCATTCAGGAGCAGGTTATTTATCCTGTATTTGCATGATTTTGAGGGTTCCTTTTAGAGTTGATTTGCAGTTTTATTCCACTGTGGTCTGAGAGAGTGCTTGATATAATTTCAATTTTCTTAATTTTACTGTGGCTTCTTTTGTGGTTTATCATATGGTCTAGCTTGGAGAAAGTTTCATGTGCTGTTGAATAGCATGTATATTCTGTGGTTGTTGGATGGAATGTTCTTTGCATATACATTAAGTCCATTTGTTTCAGGCTATAGTTTAAATTCATTGTTTCTTTGTTGACTTTCTGTCTTGATGACCTGTCTTGTGCTCTTAGTGTAGTACTGAAGTCCCCCACTATTATTGTGTTGCTGTCTCTTTCATTTCTTAGATCTAATAGTAATTGTTTTATAAATTTGTGAGCCCCAGCGTTATAGGTGCATATATGTTTAGGATTGTGATATTTTCCTGTTGGATAATACCTTTTATCATCATATAATTTTCCTTTTTGTATTTTTAACTGTTTTTGCTTTAAAGGTTGTTTTGTCTGATATAAGGATAGCTACTCCTACTTGGTTTTGGTGTCCATTTGCATGAAATGTCTCTTTCTACCCCTTTACCTTAAGTTTGTGTGAGTCCTTATGTGTTAGGTGAATCTCTTGAAGGCAGCAGATAGTTGTTTGGCGAATTCTTATCCATTCTACAATTCTGTGTCTTTTAAGTGGAGCATTTATACCATTTACATTCAACACTGGTATTGAGATGTGACGTACCATTTCATTCATCATGCTATTTGTTGGCTGTATACCTTGATTTTTTGTTTTGTAATTGTATTTTTGTTTTATAGGTCCTGTAAGATTTATGCTTAAAGAGGATCTGTTTTGATGTGTTTCCAGGATTTTTTTCAAGATTTAGAACTCCTTTTAGCAATTCTTGTAGTGGTGGCTTGATAGTGTGAATTGTTTCAGCATTTGTTTTTCTGAAAAATACTGTATCTTTCTTTCATATATGAAGCTTAGTTTTGCTGGATACAAAATTCTTGGCTGATAATTGTTTTGTTTGTGGCAGCTGAAGATAGGGCCCCAGACCCTTCTAGCTTGTAGGTTTTCTGCTGAGAAATCTGCTGTTAATCTTATAGGTTTTTTGTTTTTTTTTTTATAGGTTACCTGGTGGTTTTGTCTCACACCTCTTAAAATGTTTTCCTTCATCTTAAATTTAGTTTAACCCGATGAAATGTGCCTAGGTGACGATTTTTTGCCATGAATTTCTCAGGTGTTTTCTGTGCTTCTTGTAGTTGGATGTCTAGGTTTCTAGCCAGGCCAGGGAAGTTTTCCTCAGTTACTCCCCAGAATATGTTTTCCAAACTTTTAGATTTCTCTACTTCCTTAGGAACACCAATTATTCTTAGGTTTGGTCATGGAACATAATTCCAGTCTGTTTGAAGACTTTGTTTATGTTTTCTTATTCTTTTTTGTCTTTGTTGAATTGTGTTAATTTGAAGACTTTGTCTTCGAGCTTTTTGTATATGCTGTGAGATAAGGGCTCAGTTCTGTTCTTTTATATATAGATGTCCAGTTTTCCAACTCCATTTATTGAAGGAACTGTCCTTTTTCCATTGCATGTTCTTGGCAACTTTATTGAAAATCAATTGACTCTACATGCATGGGTTCATTTTTGGGCTCTCTATTCTGTTTCATTGGTCAATGTTCCTATTTTTTGCTGGTAGCATACTATTTTAATTATTATAGCTTTGGCTGGGGGTTGTGGCTTATGTCTGTAATCCAAGCACTTTGGGAAGCTGAGGCTGGAAGATTGAGCCCAGGAGTTCAAGACTAGCCTGGGCAACATGGCAAAACCTCATCTCTACAAAAAATAAAACAATCAGCTGGGCATGGTGATGTGTGCCTGTGGTCTCAGCTACTCAGGAGACTGAGGTGGGAGGATTACTTGAACCCAGGAAATTGAGGCCTCGGTGTGCCATGTTCATGCCACTGCACTCCAGCCTGGGCAACAGAGTGAGGCATTGTTTTAAAAAAATAAAAATAAGGCCATGTATGCTGGCTCACACCTGTAATCCCAGAACGCTGGGAGGCCTAGATGGGTGGATCACTGAAGGTCAGGAGTTCAAGACCAGCCTGGCCAATATGGTGAAACCCCATCTCTACTAAAAATACAAAAATTAGCTGGGAGTAGTAGTGGGTGTCTGTAATCCCAGCTACTTGTAAGGCTGAGGTAGAAGAATCACTTGAACCTGGGAGGCAGAGGTTGCAGTGATCCAAGATCACACCACTGCACTCCAGCCTGGGTGACAGAGCAAGACTCCCTCTCCAATAAAAATAAATATATAAATAAAAAATAAAAATAAGATAAATAAAATCATTACTGTTATTTTTAGCTTTTTAGTATAGTTTGAAATCAGGTAATGTGATACCTCCAGCTTGGTGTTCTTAGCTTCTGATTGCCTTGGCTATTTGGGGTTTTTTTGCAGCTCCATACAAATTTTAGGATTTTTTTATTTTTCTATAAAAGAAAGATATTGGAATTTTGCTAGTGATTGCATAGAATCTCTAGATCACTTTGAGCAGTATGGATATTTTGACAATATTAACTATTCTTATCCATGAACACAAGGTATTTTTCCATTTATTTGTATCTAGTTTCTCCCACTGATGTTTTACATTTTGAGTGTACAGGTTTTTCACCTTCTTCAGTAAATTTATTCTAAGTATATAATTTCTTTTTTTAGCTCTTTTAAATAGGATTGCTCTTTTAATTTATTTTTCAGATGATTCATTATTAGTGTATAAAAACTCTTCTGATTTTTGTGTGTTTATTTTGTATCCTGCAACTTTACTATATTCATTTATTAGTTCTAACAGTTTTTTGGTGGAGTCTTTAGGGTTTTCTCTATTATATAATGTCATATCATCAGCAAATAATTTCTGAAAGACTGCTCTCTGAAAGTAAACAATTTTGCTCCTTTCTTTCCTATTTGCATGCCTTTTGTTTCATTCTCCTGCCTAATTGCTCTGACAAGGACTCCCAATACTACATTGAACAGAGGTAGATGGGGTGGGCATCCTTTTCTTGTTCCAGATCTTTAAGGAAAGACTTTTCACTGTTGACTTTAATGTTAGCTGTGAACTTTTCAATATGGCCTGTATTGTGTTTAGGTACATTTCTTCAATACTTAATTTGGTGACAGTTTTTATCACAAAAAAAAATGTTGAATTCTCTCAATTACCTTTTCTGCACCTAATGAATTGATAATATGGTCTTTGTTTTTCATTTTGTTAATATGATACATCATATGTATTGACTTGTGTATGTTGAATCATCCTTCCATCCCAGAGATTAATCTCACTTGATATAATGTGTTGGAGAATTTTATTTGCTAGCATTTTGCTGAAGATTTTTCCATCTATCTTCATATCTTCATCAAGGATATTGGCCACTAGTTTTTTTCCTTTCTTGCTTCCTTCCTTTCTTTCTCTTTTTCTCTCCCTCTTTCTTTTCTTCTTTCTCTCTCTCTCTCTCTCTCTCCCTTCCCCTCCCTCCCTCCCTTCCTTCCTTCCTTCCTTTGTAATGTCTTTGTGTTGGGTATCAGGGTAATTCTGACCTTATGAAAAGAGTTTAAAAGTATTTCTTCTTAGATTACTTTAAGAATAATTATTACTATATCCTTTTTAAACGTTTGGTAGAATTTAGTCATGAAACCATCAAGTCTTGAGATTTTCTTGGGGGAGACTTTTTATTACTGATTCAATCTCCTTATTCATTACTGATTTGTTCAGATTTTCTATTTCTTCATTATTCAGTCTTGGTAGATTGTCTAGAAAGTTATTCATTTAGAGAATAGCATTGGTATGTGTCTAGAAATTCATTTCTTCTAGGTTATCAGATTTGTTGGCATTTTATTTTTCTTAGTAATATTTTCTTTTTGTGTTTCTGTGGTATCAATTTAATGTCTTCTCTTTTATTTCTAATTTTATTTGATCTTCTCTCATTTTTTCTTAGTTAGTCTAGCTAAAGATTTCTCTATTTTATTTTTTCAAAGAACCAATTCTTAGTTGTGTTGATCTTTTGCATTTTTTTTAGTCTCTATTTTATTTATTTCTGCTCTAATCTTTATTATTTCCTTCTGCTAACTTTGGGCTTAGTTTGTTCTTAATTTCCAGTTACTTGCTATGTAACTTCAGGTCATTTTCTTGAGATCTTTCTGCTTTTTGATGTGCTTATGGCTGTAAACTTTCTTGTTAGAACTTCCTTTGCTGTATCCTACAAGTTTTGGTATGTTGTGTTTCCATTTTAATTTTTTCGAAGATATTTTTACATTTTCCTTTTAACTTCTTTATTAACTCATTAATTGTTCAGAAGCATGTTGTTTAGTTTCTATGTATTTGTGAATTTCCCAAAATTCTTCCTGTTATGGATTTCTAGTTTCATTTTATTGTGGTTAGAAAAGATACTTGATATAGTTTCATTCTTCTTAAATTTGCTGATGCATATTTAGTGCCCTAACGTGTGATCTATCCAGAAGAATGTTCCACGTGCACTTGAGAAGAAAGTGTATTCTGTTAATGTTGGATGAAATGCTCTGTATATGTCTACTAGGTCCCTTTGGTCTAAAGTGTTGTTTAAGCCCAATGTTTCCTTATCAATCTTCTATCTGAATAATGTGGTCTAGCTACTTTGCTATTCCAAAATGAGCAGAGACCAGTGTCTCCCTGTTTGGGTCTGGTCATTGAGGTGGACCCTGAGGCTAGGTGGAAAAACTAGCATTCTAGAAACTCAAGCTAATTTTTGCTTCCCACCAGGATTCTGAGGGCAACTAGATCAGCTTTGCAGGTGGGTAATTACCTCTGTCTCCTTTCTTTGTTCCTACCTGACCCCAGGCCCTATAGCCGTAACGTTTTTCCAAGTATTCCCTGTGAGATGAGACAAGAGTGGGCTTCCTGAGAAGTATCTTGGAATGCTAGAGAAGCTGGATGATTGCCTCTGATTCTCAGTTCTCTTTTTTCCCTGTAGAAACTGTGGGACCAGGGAAATCTTCATCTGGCATTGCAGACATGGGGTTGGATGGGAGGGGGTTGACATAGAGTGAGATCATTCTTCTTACCCTTCTAATTTATATTTCATTCAGTTCTACAGAACATGTGATATCTCCAGTTTGTTTCCAAGTGTTGTGGTTTTCAAAAAGATGTCCTATCTTGAGAAGAGTTGCTATTAGGTTGGTGCAAAAGTAATTACGGTTTTGTCATTACTTTCAGTGGCAAAAACTGCAATTACTTTTACATCAACCTAGTAGTTGAACTTTCTGTAGTGGGAAGTGGAGCCTGAGATTTCCTATTTTACCATCTTGCTGATGTTACTTCCTGGAAGCTATCCTATCTGCTTTATAGCCCGTTTCTCTTTCCAGGCTAAATCTATGAACCAGGGCTCTGAAGCTGGGGATGGAGACAATGACAAGCTGCTTTCTTAATGACATCACTGATTTAGGAGCTTGATATGGTTTGGGTCTGTGTCCCCACCCATATCTTATGTTCAATTGTAATCCCCAATGTTGGAGGTGGGGCCTGGTTGGAGATGACTGGATCATGGTAGTGGATCCTCCATGAATGGTTTAGCGCCATCCTCTTGGTGCTATTCTCCTGATAGTGAGTTCTTGAAAGATCTGGTTATTTAAAAGTGTGTAGCACTTCCCCTGCTCTTGTTCTTGCTCCTACTGCAACCATGTACTCCAGTGAAGTTCATGCTCCCCTTCACCTTCCACCACGATTGTAAATTTTCTGAGGCCTCCCCAGAAGCTGAGGAGATGCTAGCACCATGCTTCCTGTACAGCCTGCAGAATCATGAGCCAATTAAATTTATTTTCTTTATAAACTACCCAGCTTCAGGTATTTCTTTATAGCAATGCAAGAACAGACTAATACAGGAGGCAAAAGCCTCATGGAGAAGGTGGCACAAACCTTGGGTTTTCTCAGCTTGCTTTTCCTAGTGCGGAACCATAGCCTCACAAGCTGGGGCAAGAGTCATCAGGGGTTCAGTGTTCTGAGCACACTGTGCCCAGTGGGGGAGCCTCCATTTCACAAGTGAGGGCTTGGCACAAAAAGGGAACCCCTACCACTCAACCAAACTTTCCCAGGACTTAGCCTCAGTAACAGGAAACTGGGAACAGAATGAGAAACACTGACATCCTGTATACTATGACATGGTAGCCCCAATAAAAAAGCCCTCTATTTGGGTGCTGGGAGAGAGTGAGCCCTGTGTTTTTTGTGGCATCAATCTGGAGTAGAGTCTCTACCTCACTGAGTTGGGAGTGAGAGAAAGAGGAAGTGGTTTTGGTCAAAATACCACAAATTCTTAATTTCTTAACAAATTTTTGTAAAGATTATTGAATAGATGTTTCTTCATTTGCTGTTCACCAATAGGACAATTTCCAGAAACATTATATATATATATATTATATATATAATATATATAGTATATATATTATATATTATATATATTATATATTATATTTTTTATATAGTTATGTATATTATATATAATATAATATATATTATATATAGATTTTGTATATAATATAATTATATATAATCTATATAATATATTATATATAATTATATATATTATCTATATATAGATAATATATATAATTATATATATTATATATATAATTATATATAATCTATATATTATTATATATAATATATGATATATAATATATATTATATGATATATATGATATATATTATATCATATATAATATTATATATTATGTATATATTATATATAATATATAATATATTCTATTATGTAATAATCTATATATAAAATCTATATATATTTTGTATATTATATATACATGATATATAATATATAAAAGAATATATATTATATATAATATATAAAAGAATATATATTATATATGATATATAAAAGAATATATATTATATATATAATATATAAAAGAATATATACTATATATAATATATAAAAGAATATATACTATATATAATATATAAAAGAATATATACTATATATAATATATAAAAGAATATATACTATATATAATATATAAAAGAATATATACTATATATAATATATAAAAGAATATATACTATATATAATATATAAAAGAATATATATTATATATAATATATAAAAGAATATATACCATATATAATATATAAAAGAATATATATTATATATATAATATATATGTAATATATATATATTCTCCAGTTTTGCTGAGGAGCAGGCTAGCATAGTTCCTCATGCTATCATGTTGAAAGCTGATCTTTTAACCTATTTTAATTATTTTTAACAGTTTTCCTAGATATTCCAGTTTGAGTTGCAAAGCATTTAGAAAATAAAATAAATACGTAACACTAATGCAAACACATAGCCAGTTGAGTGAATTGATCTGATTGATAGTCAGTTAAATCAAACTACTTTCATTGAATTTACCTCTTTTTAACAAATCACATGTTCTGAACTAGTCAGTTATCTTATGACATGTCTCATAGCATATTTCAATAATACCTAATTTACCTACTAACTAGTCACTACACAAGTTTTTTTCTAAATACAACTGCAAAACAGGAAATAATCAAACCTGATCTCCAATAGTCAAAAAAGATGCCTTAAAATTGGTCTATTAAATTTATGTCTTTTTTTTCATAGACAATATGTCAGATGCTCACTGCTATTTTAGAAAATGTTTTTCCATATGTGGTTTTCCAGTCCAAAGGTGAGAAGCACATTAAAGGGAGTAGAGGTACTAGGAAGGCACATTGATGGAAGTAAAGAATGAGAGTGCATGAAAAAATTACAAAGAACAAATACAGAAACCAAAACCAAACAGACTGCCATTTATACTCTGAAATTTCCTTAGTACATCTCAGAATTGATTAAAACATGGTGAGTGATTGACTTTGTGAGTGATTAAAGAATATTAGTATACTCTAAGGAAATTAGGACACTTTAGAAATATTTACATCAAATATAGTTAAAATGAGACGTGTTCGTGTTTGAGCGGGAGCTTTAGTTGCTAGAAAAGTAGGAAGAAGAGTTCATTTTTCCATAATAGCTGTGTAATGTCTACATATAGTGGAACAACCCATGGTGGGCTTGTTTGGGAACAGACCAGCTGATCTATTAGGCAGATGCAAGATGAATATTTGTGGTAGCAGTGAAATAATGATTCAACCAATTAATTAATTTTAGCAACTATTAAGCCATTTACATTTCTAGAGTCTAACAGAATGGACTTGATGGTAAGCTTTGCTATTCATAATAGTTGCAACATATGGAGATTGCCTATGCCATGGACCTGCGCAGGTCATAAACCTCAGCATTACCACTATTGTCGTTCCAAGCTTTAATGACTTCAAAGGCTTTTGGCTAAGTTTCTTTCTTTCTTTTTTTAATTTACATCTTTTGTCAGTGCTAATTCTTGGATTTGTTTTTGAGGACTTTATATGTATATATATATCAAGAAAAGGACTTATTATACATTATAACAGAGAACAATTGAGGTATGGGGCAGCTGATTAATCCCAGCCCCTGAATAGGTAACCAGCTCTCATACAAATCTCATTTGAGCTTGACTTTGTTGAGCAAGGAGGTAAAGTGCACCTGGGTTCAGACATTAGGGATACAAAAATACAAAGGTAGTAAGAGAGAAGACAAGGGCAGAGGTCAAACCAATGATCCAAAAAACTAGTCTATTTCTTACAAAGTGAGACAGAGAGGTAGATCTAAAGCTGGAAACTGTCCAGGAAATGAGGGAGAGCACAGACAGGCTTCACAGAAGGAGCCTGGAGGAATTTCCTGAAGAAAGACAGAGCCAAACTCCATTTTGTATGTATATTCTGACATTGGTGAGGGTAGGGGAAGAATAAATATGGAAGCCCACAAATGATATGTCTAATATTCAAAAGTTATAAATCAATCTAACAAACGGTTGAATAACCCACATTCTATTTTCCTACCTTGAAATACATACCTTCACATGATCCAAAAGCCCAGGCAGAATTTAGAATTTAGAACTAGGCAGAATTTAGAATTCTTAGATTCCCACATGCGGTCGTGGTGTAGAGGGCCAGCCCGCAGCTCATGGCCCTGATTCGCCCCCTTCTTTTATCTTTCCCCTGCTGTATCCTGAACTATGAGGAGCCCCACTGTACCTTTGGGGAAATGCCAGTGCACACAGCTAAGCCCCATCCATACTCACAGCAACAGCACCCCCTGGCCATACAACAGTTGGGATGGTTCACTGGAACCATTGTGGGAAATTCAGGATCCTGGTACTTGGAATGCCCTTTAGACAAAGAGCTTGTTTCCTTGGCTTCACAAATCTTTCCTCTGAGGGGAAAACATAATCTGAGAGAACTAGACCAAGACTTCTCTAAAGTGAAGGCAGAGACAGGGGCCTTGTCTCTCATAACACAGGGAAGCACTGGTTCTAATTACGAATCCAGGTCAGATAGGAGTCCTTAGTTCTTCATATTCTTTCAAATCCATTAATGCTGACTTAGATTTAACACTTCAACTCTGCCCAAGTGGAAAAAGGGACTCATGTTAGAACAGTTTTAACAAAATGGTAAATATTTCTCTCTTCATTCTTAAAACTTCCTCCTGGGAGAATTATTGGGATTCATAAACATTTTTAATTCTTGATTTTCTATGCATCAGCTTTCCAAACATCTCTATTTGGATAGTTTATTTTATTTTAATGAGCTGCAAAAATAGCAGAATGGGTTTTTTAAAAGAAAGCTACTTGAAGGCAAGAGCTGTCTTACTCACCCTCCCCTCTTTTTGCCTCATCTCATTGCTTAGGGCATTGCACAGTAGATGCTCAGCAAAAATTTGTTGAATATTGTAACAGCTATGATCCAGAGACCAACAGACTATGTGAATTTTTTTTTTTTAAAGCACAACCAAAAACTAACAAGGGTTCCCTTCTGTATTTCCCTGTTTGCCTTTGAATTTCATTTTCTGGAGGGAAACATGTACAGTACATTCACAGCAGTTTGGAATAGATAGCAGGGTGAAGAGGGCTGGTCGTCACAAATGTAGAGACATACACCGAGGGGCCATTCCTGGCTTAGCTTGCTCATCCACAGTTACAAAAGAGAGACAAGCAGGTTGAGTTGTCAGCCTAGGTCTGTCCTATGTAAAGAAGTAGGAATGGAAGAGGTTAGTTCTCCCCAGGGCAGTAAGTAGGAAGTATATACAGAAGGAAGAGATAGAAATCATATCATGGATGACCTTGAACTCCATGTTCAAATTTAGCATGAAGTCTTATTCTCTCACCTTGACATATCTGGATGCCAATTTTTAGCTAATGATTAGACACTTACATAGTATTTATGACCTGAGCATTTACAACTATTCAGTCATTTATGCCTATAACAGCTGTATAAAAACTTTCATAATTCTCATTTTAGTAGTTCAGAAACTGTAATAAAGAGAAATCAATTAATCAGCCTTACACATCGTACGGTGCTGCCTTGCAAACTAGAAGGTGCACATAGTCTTCAAATTTTCTTTTGCTTGATAACTGGTACATGGAAACCGTCCACTTGTAGCTCAATTTTTTTAGTTTAAAAGTGATTCCTCTTGGGAGTTGGAAACTCCACTAGGTAAGGTAGTAGCATTCTGAAGTCTTCAGTATCACAAATTAGAGCAGAAGGCAGCATAGAGGTACACTGAAAGGAACAGCTGCTATCAAGAAGAGAGGATGCAAAGGAGCAGGACTAGAGTGGCCCACACTAACTTGGCTCACCTCAAATCTGCACTAAGCACTGACCTGAGAGCAGGAAATCAGAAATAATTGTAAGTTTTCAAATACAGGAGAAGTCTGATAAAAATGATAGTTTAAAAAAAAGCAGTCAATCTGTGGATTTCATGAAGAGAATGAGCTTTGAGAATAGTAGACTTGAATAAGGCAAGAGCAAAGGAGCATTTTGAGTGAGAATTGGGCAAAGGTGATTGAAAACCAGGCAAAGTGATTTATCACCTAATATAGAGGTTGATCTAACTTGAACTGAGTCTACAGCAATACTGGATCAATACTGAATCAATAAGTCTTCAATAAGAGTGTACATTTATTTCTCTTGCATAGACTTCCTGTTCTGACTTTGCTGTCTTCACAACCGTGCAAATGGACAGGATTACTTCTCCACAGGACTCATTTTTTTCTGGGCTAAAGATTAGGTTCAAGTCACTCTGTAAACAGGTGGTAGTGACTTCAAACTTGTTAAATAACTTTCTCAACTAGCTTAGAGCAGCGTTTGATGTTAATACATTATTAGTAAACATTTATTAAATTTATGGGATAATTTAAAATGTTCTAATTTACTTAGAAAACCTGGCTATGTTCAACTGAATTCTTTGCCCTGCTGTCCACAAAATTTTTGTTTACAGATCTTAAATAGTGAAAATTCTGCTTTGGTAGATCTTAGATCCTGTCTTTGCAAACAACCCAACGACCCAAAATAAAGGGGAACACTGGCTTTTATGATTCCAAAGTAAATTCTTGATCTTAGATAGTGCTTGATATGGTTAGGTTTTATGTCCCCACCCAAATCTCATATTGAATTGTAAGCCCCATAATCTCCACATGTTCAGGGAGATACCTCGTGGGAGGTGATTGGTTCATGGGAATGCTGTCTCCTCTGCTATTCTCATGATAGTGAGTGAGTTCTCACAAGATTTGGTGGTTTCATAAGTGTCTGACAGTTCCTTCTTCATGCACTTGCTCTCTCTCGCCTGCCACCATGTAAAACATGCCTCTTCCATTTCCACCATGATTGTAAGTTTCTTGAGGCCTCCCCAGCCATGCAGAAGTGAGTCAATTAAAATTATTTTCTTTATAAATTACCCAATCTTGGGCAGTTCTTTATATCAGAGTGAGAATGGATTAATACAGTGCTCTTGGTTTTAGTTTATGTGTAAGATTTTTTTAATTGGATAAATTTGTTATTCTGTGCAGGTTTCTTGTTTGCTTAGCTGAAAATCCTATTCTAAAATGTACCCTTGAATGTTCAGTTTGTCTACTTTTTATCACAAGAAACATCAATACCACAGAAGGGCCATGTGACATATATGTAGTGCAATGTGTCTCCTTACATGTACCCCAATGCAACAATTACAGAAAGCTCTGTTTCTTGTAAAATTGTGTACTGCCCTTAACCCAGATAAAGAATCACTTCTACAGGAAAAAGTTTTTGCATCATTTTCTGCCCACCCACTCCCCTTAAACTTTCCCTAGTAATGCCACCTTGCAGAGGAATGAGAGTAGAACAACATTGTGGAAGCTTCACTTGCACACAAGCTGCATGCCTAAAGTCTGTGGATGGAGTAGCCTGTTATGTTTCTTTCTGCAGGAATAAGTGCATATTAATGAAAATGGTTAGTTGACTGTGGATCATGTTTCCCCAGGAATTCTGCAGAGGAAGAGCAAGCTAATAATTGCCAGGGTCATCTTTGCCTAGGTGATTGTATGCACAAACTGTTTTGCTGGAATCCTATTCTTAAATTAGTTGAAAATCAGTTAGCTAATCATTTCATCAAGACCAAAAGTTACCAGAAATCTGGTTGAAAAGAAATGTGCATTTTGAAGTTGCGAGGGTCCATATTCTACGTAGTTAATTGTCTTAGTTTTTTACATTTGGAATAAATCCAAAAACAATGTTCAAAATTTAGCTTTGATTCCCAGAAATCATTCAACTGATGGCAAAGCCATCTCCTGAATCAGAGAAGGTATGCCGTGTTTAACACACTATCTTATTATTATGAGTTGTAGTTGCTAAAACTATGGTAAACATCAGTTACACTGGATGATACTAATAATTTTCTCATACCAGGTATTTTGTTTCTCATACAGAATTGTGTCTGCAAAGAAATAAATGCCTTTATAATTTTTTGAAGTTCTCATCTAGATTCACTGCTTTGGGGATAAGGTTTTGAAAAACTCTTTCTCATTTAAATATTCAGCTGGTATAGCTTAGGTTTGAAGTTCAGCTGACCTTAACATGACACCCTCAATATTAAACATTATCATTTCCATAAGATCTGTAAAATTTGAAACATAATTCCATAGAACAATATTAATTCTAAGAAGTATTAGATCTTATGTCACAAACAGGGGCCCTAAACGTAGTTCTATAGGCCCCTTTCCTCTGAAGCCACTCAAAATCTCTAGCATGTTCATATGTGCCCTATGACTCTCCAAGAGAGACTTCTCTAAAATCTATCTGACTCCAGAATTTTTTGTGGCAAGACATTTTGAAGAACTACTAGCCCATGAAACATACTTTGGCAGATGTTGGCTTTCTTTGAATTTTTTCTTCTTCACAAGAGGAAAAATGGAGTATGAGAATAGGATCAGAGAAAGACATACAGCTGTCAGGGAAATGAATCAGAAAGGGATAATGGAGGGCTTGGGCAACTAACTTTACTTGTTTTATATTTTTACCCCGAATAAGTTCTTCTATTAGGCCCAGAGAGTTATCCACAAAGTCCACTTCTTTTCATCAGTGCTCATGCAAACCAGAACCATGGAAATTCTTCACAGAGGCTCTTTTCAATGTGTCATAGAGGAAGCAATGGGATGTGGGCCAGATTAGATTTCCCTGCACTCATAAGCTATTTTCCCTAAGGCCTGCAAGAGCAGCACATGAATAGCTAGGAGCCAAATTTGGCCCATTTAAAATATTATTGCATTGTCCACCATAATGATGGTAATAACCTTGTAATGAGTGTGCGTAGAGCTGGGCCCTGTACAAAACCCAGAAGGAGCCACACTCCTTGCTGGTGCGTAGTGAATACCAAAGAGGCTTTCCATTCCCCATCCAGGGGAAGTCACTGTTAAAAAAGCAGTTGATCACTTTCTTTCTGACATTCTGGCCTCTGGCCATGAATATTGAGAGCTGTTATCCTCTGAGGCTACTCATTTCTTTCTCTAGAAGCCTTTAATGCTTACGGTAAGTATACTACCTTGTAACTTATGCAACCTTAAATAATGTTGGTTATCCATTCCATAAACTATTCCTCAAAAAAGGTCAGATTCAATACCTAATATTGATGTAAGAGCTTCACCTAATTCCACTGAATATAGAAATCTATCTACAGATTTCTTTCTTCACATATAGAGAGATTTGCACTGACTTATCTAAACTCTTCTGGCATCTGGCAGTCACACCTTCACAGCAATTTTCTTCATGTTTTAAACCTCTCTCTTTTTTTAAGAATTGGCAAGCAGACAATTTATTGATCATCCTCATTTTGTAAGAAAGGCTTAGAATAGCTTTCAAGAAATAAAACCTGTATAAAATCGTATCTAGTAAAAAATGTTTGGAGAAGTTGAAAGTAAAAGAAAAATGGAAAGGGAGGAGTAGGACAGAGACATGACACAGTGAAAGAAGAAAAACAGTTGACTTCAGAGCAAGGGAAATTAATATTGAACTAATGCTATTCTTTGGTAAGATAGCTTTTAAAACAGTTATGTGAGGTAATAAGACATGTAAAGCAGCTATGAACAAGTTAATTGGCCCTATTTGAATATTTTAGGCAGGATTACCAACTCAAGTATTTCCTCATGCTGTGTTGCTGGGAACATCATTCTACAATAGTGGTAATCCTTTATCCAACCACTCTATAATGCCAGGAAGAAGTTTAGCTGTTACATTAAAGGTTAACCAAACCATTACATTCTTCTTTTGTTTTTATTATTGTTTTTGATATTGAGTTGCAGAATTGAAGAAGTGACTCAAAAGAGTTGTGGCAAGTATAAAATAAGTCACTTAGATATTTCTTTAAATCCAACTTAGTTTCAGAACGCCATGCTTGTTCAGAAACGCTGTGTGCATTAGAGACAAAAATCAGGAATTGAGATATTTGCGAAGTGACAGTTTTCAAATTCTTGGTGCATGAAAAGTCCTGAATTCCTAGAAACTTCTTACCCAGCCAGGCCCTTGAGAAGGATATACACAGCAAATCCCAGCTCTTGGGCAGCATGCCAAAAGCCTAGAGATTAAGGTCATCTAAAAATGACTAGTGTTCCTAAACATGATGTGATTTCACAAGCTTAAACATGTCTGACGTTCTTTTCTAACCTTTGCTGGATGCTTCAACAGTGTTTGGCTGTCAATAATTTACCCTGGCTGATTGAGTTTATACTTGCCTGCTTTGTGAATAAAAGTGTTTGGATTACAAAGAAGAGATTGAGTTATCCTGCAGAGAGATGGTGCAATAAGCAGATTTTTCTCTTCTTTCATCCACAGCATTATTTCAGCTGGGAGCTGTAGTATGTGACTAATTAGCCAATGGAAGTCCACTCTCTGGACTTTCTGGTGGTATATTTACACTGAATTCTGGCCTGATAATAAAGGTGTCACCCAGTGTAACAATGTGACACACCCAGAGTGAAGAAGAAAAGTCTAAGATAACACAGAGCCTCTGTCAGCCCTCAAACTTATTTTTCACAAGCTTCAGCAATATTCCAAACAACAAAAGAAATATGACTGAACAGACACAAATTTTGAGGACATATTTTTTCCCCAGTATTTTTTTAACAGGTACTACTGATGTCCCAGTGCTTTTGAGGGTCTTGTTTGTCCTCCTGGATGCTTTAGGAAGTTACCACTTTCAGCTCACCTAGAGCTGATCTCATTAATAAAAGAATGACTTTACAGAAAAGAGTTTCTAAAATTATACTCTCACTCAGAATTGCAAGAGTTGGCTTTTCAGCCTGAAGATAAATTTCTTAAGCATTAAGCTTACTTTATCAAGTATTACACCTGACATTCTCTCATAAATTTTGCATATATTTTAACTAATTTTAATATTGTGTGGGCTTGGTTTATAATATTCTCATGCAGTTACTAAAGTTGAATCTTCTCAGTCATATATTAGTTGTAAGAATGCTTAACCCCTTCCAAAATATCACTCACTTAAAATCACATCAGCTAAGTCTCCTCTTATTTTTGCTTATTTCTTGGTTATTTACCATGCATTTTGTGTATGTTGGAACCAGCCATGCAGTCGTTGTATTCCTTTTTTGAGAGGGCAAATGTATTTTGACAAGGTTGCTATTGGAAACACTTTTTAAATATCTCATGTGTCACATCACAATCAGCATCATAATCTGATCAGGTGGATTAATTTCAGAAGGCAGCAGAGGGCATTGCTTACAGGGGTCACAGACATTCAGATCATGGCAGAACTGTCACAGATGTTACTTTGTGAAAACACAAAGAATAATGTGTTTGGAGAGATCAGTCTTCAATTAGCTATATTTTCTAGGAGCCTACCTTTACTTAGCCTCACAACATGGGCCTTAGCTTTAGCACTTAATCTGCACAAATACCTGGCTTAAGTGTTATGACTGACTGGCTATTCAACCAAACCATACAAATGACCAATTCGGTAAGAAAGCATGAACTTCAGTGTTGAACCAAATCAACCAACCTCCTCAATCCAAATGGTAAGTTTGTTCAGAAAGACGAAAGGCAGAAATTAAGGTATTTGTACAGTAACTACTCTGTTTAAAGGATATCCAGTGGGTCCTAAAACGAATTAATGTGGTTAGTTTGGTGGTTATAAGTTAATAGGACTCAAGAGAATTAAGGGATAACACTGACATATTGGGAAGATTATCCCACAAAGGGCAAAAAGGGTCAAAACCTATACTTCCTATGCCTATTACCTTTTCAAGAACAATGTTAATTAACAACACTACTGGGCACTAAGTATGTGTCAGGCCTACTGCTAAGGTCTTTACAATAATTATTTCATTTCATCCTCAAAACAACACATGAGCTAGACACAGTCACAACTCAGGTGAGGTTAGTGCACAATATTAAAGTGGATACCAAAAATCTCAGTAAGCAGAATAAATCATATTTTAATAAAATATTTTTTAAAATAAAAATAAATACAAAAATTCATAACGAATAAATTATCAGAATTTAACATAAAGATAGGTTATTGTCTCTTGTGATCCTGTATTATCGTGCAATTGAACAGTAATATTTAACCAGCCCAAGGTTCTGGCCCTGGGGCATCATTGCACACCCCACAGGGTAAATTTATAAGGGTTGACAATGGCTGTGAACAGATTGGACAATGCAAAGCTTTAAATATTGACATGCTTTTCTGATTGTGGAACTTACTTTTTCTTTTTCCACTTGATTAAAAATATTAGAGGATATTTTATAGTGTGTGTAGTAGCACACCATTTTCTTTTTTGCTTCAGTCTCGAATATGACTTGGCACAGCACTGGAGATATATATCATCATGATTCTTTTTTTCAAAAAATGAAGACTCTGAGGTTCCAGAGAAGGGAATAAAGTTGCCCAAGCTTGCACAGCTAGGAAGTGGCAGAGCTCAGTTTTGAACCTAAGTAGTTTAAGTTCAAGCCTACCCTCCTAATCTGCTCTCTTAGAAAGTACAACACTCTATTAACCAGAAAATTCAAGTATCTAGCACACTTCATTCTCTGGACACTGGAGTTATTAATATGGTATTGCTCAATTACATCCTTAACATTTTTAATTTTTAATACAACTCCTTCTAAGAAAGAAATTATACCTTTTGTAAATAGTATCCAGTGTATCTACCGATACTGCTGTGAGGTAGGTGTGAATACTGTGTTTGAGGGCATCATTATTAAGGAAATATTTAAATAAATGGTATTTTTAAATGGGGACCATGATACTCTGCCTGTAAGAATGTGAAAAAGGCATTAGAAAACCCTAGCATGTTCTCATCCTTTTGCCATAGGACACATTCCCTTGGCCAGACACGGATCTCTTCTCAGGGTAAAATTTGGAAGACTCAAGTATTAAGCCATCATGTCAAAATAGTACCTTGCTTATTTTAAAAGCTAAAAACAGCACATATCTGGACATGTATATCACTTTGGCTCTGCGATAAGGCTAATATTTATTTTGCTTCTGCAAGCTGGTTTTTCTTGACATGGGAAACAGTGTTTTTCTTTGAGCCATGAATGGTTATGTATAAGAGTTTATTTAATTTTATTTTTGTGAATGAGCAGATTCTGAACAAGAGTACAATTTTGATTATGTATATATTGATGATAAGGAGGAGGAGAAGGAGGAGGGAGAAGATGAGGAGTAGAGAAATATTGTGCTTCTGAGAAAATTTCAGCGTGGTTCACTGTGGTAAGGAAAACCATCATACCATCAGCTCTGGGAAGTCCAGCTCTAGGACTCCCTAAATGACATTGCAAATCACAAAAAGAGAGGAATTAGGAACGTACCTTTTCTTTTTTAACATCTGTTTTGCTGCAATTTTTGTTTTGTTTTGTTTTGAGACGGAGACATGCTCTGTCGCCCAGGCTGGAGCGCAGTGGCGCGATCTCGGCTCACTGCAAGCTGCGCCTCCCAGGTTCACGCACTGCAATGTGTTTAAAACTACAAATGTATTCTCTACAGCTACTTTCATTCATTAACTCATGTATGGATTGATTCATTTATTCACTGACTCTTTAAGACCGCACATATATAAAATACTATAGTATGCACTGAAGAAACAAGGAAGAAATTACATAGTTTCTGCCCTTAAGAACCAGATATGTTGACAAGTATTTGTAATGACAATAATGTGTGTATACACAAAATAAAATAGGGCCACATCACAGTCGAAGAATAGTCTGCTAGGTATATTAAGGAAGGCTTCCAAGAGGGAGTTACATTGAGGCTCAGGTTTAAAATAATAAATAGAAGTTTGCCAATTGAGTAATGGGAACAGACAAAACAGAAAATGCAGATGCCAAGAGAACATGGCATGTTTGGGGAATAAGTTGTTTAGTGTTGCTGAACCATAAAAAGTAACAAAGAAAAATCTAGAAATAAGGTGGCAGACCTAGACAGAGGCCAGACTGATAGATATGCAGTGTTGCCATTCACAGTAGCATAGCCTTTATTCTGGAGAAACTGGGCAATAATTGAAGAGTTTTGCCAGGAGAGAGATATCATCAGGTGGGAATGGTGCAAGACCATTCAGATCTTATATAGAGTGTATATCAGAGCGATAAATACAAATACCGATAAGCTTTTTTTCTTGTTTTTAATTTTCAGGACCTCTATCTTCTTCCTTCAATTAAAGCTTCGTAATTAAATAATGTGAATTTGGTTGTTTCAAAATTGGTTCATTTGATAGTTTGATATACGAAAACACATGCTGGCAAAGCATGTCTGATAATCTTACAAACATTTGCAATTTTTAATTATTTTGCCGTATACAGATTAGTTCAGTAGAATGAAGCTCATTTTTGTGCTTTGACTGTATCAAGAAAAAGTATGATCATGTTGCCAAAAGGCCAGCCATATGCATTTTTGACCACAGAGAAGGGAATATGTGTTTCTTGTAAATATGAGCATTTTTTACTGTGTTCATATTCCTTTTAGGACCTCACATTCAAATGCATGCCCTCCAAAAAGTTTAATTTTAGGTGGAAGCCCTCAATGGCCAATAAATAACCCTTAATCTTCCTCCAACTAGCCATGGTTCTGTTTGTGACTGTTGGAATTATTTCATAGTGTTTCAGCACAACTCTGATAGTTTTCAATGTACTTATTATCAAAGGTTTGAAGTATGATGTCTCCTGATTTGCCAACATTCTTCTTACTTTATAAACAGTCAGGTGAGATAGCACAGCAAAGACAACAATTCATTTCTATTCTGGTCATTATAAAATTTTACTTAAAAGTGTCTTCTCTCTTTGCAGAACAATGCTATTCTAGGAGTCTGTGCTAGAATAAAATCCTAATGCAAAGGCTGTCTTAAAATGCTGAACCCAGAAGAATTTGGCATAAATAAGACATGGAGTTAGCTGACATGAGATATTACATTTATTCCACTGTTGACGAGGACAAAACTGGGCCGCTATTGTCACAGGTGAAAAGTGTTTTCCAAAGTCTGCTCTGTTGCTTGTTAGATAAGGGGCTGCCTTAGTCTGAATAACCTGAACAAGATTTATACACATCACTGAAATTGACTCCTGTTTACCGCCCATCCTTGCTCACTACGATTAACAGTGCAAGGGCAGCATGAGAGACATCAAGTGAGGAAACCTCAAACAACCTTCAGAGAAGTGCTAGGAGGCTGCTTAGGAGAAAACAGCCTTTATGAGTCTACTCTTTTACTTGTGGCAGGTAGCAACCTCTCTCCTGCACCCAGAATAGACCCCAAGTTGTTCTTATGGCCTGGGCAGGAACTTACGTTAGTTGGAGGAACTTTCCATTTAAAAATGGTTAAAATACATTAAGTAAGCCAGAGTTCTGTCATCTTCTCTACAAAGAGTGAGATGCTTTACACAAACACACACACACATACATGCACACACAAATCACAGAATCAAATGATGCTCCTTAGTGTGGAATTTTTTAATACACCATTGTGCCACAATCACGGGGAAAGAATGCCTTTATGGAAAGCTGGAATTTATACTTGCTTAGTGTATGCTTTTACTGCATGGGGATCCTCTCTTGTACACTCTCACTTGGGGACAATTCAGCTCATGCCTGTGCTCCTAGTGACTGAGAGATTTAAGTCCGTTTATGATCTATGCAGAAATTATCTCTTCTTCCAAACCATCAAATGTAGTGCGTGGGTGCAATGGCTGCCTTCCAGTGAGCTGAAAAGCTCTCATGACTTGGCATACAGTCTTTCCCTTGGCCCTTCAGTAATGGCATTTCACTTAATACAATATGCCCCTAACTGAGTTTTAGTGATTTCAAATGAATTTAGTCTCCTTATCAATATCCTCTATTTGGTGGTGTGTTTGCTCTTCAGTGTGCTGTGCCAATAAATCTAGCACAAGTGCTGCCTCCTTCCCTCTCAATTGTCTGGCCTCTCCCTGTGAAAGCAAACACCAGGCAGCAGAAAAAGAGGCTCTCAAAAAACTTGTCTGTATCATAAATGTAAATATCAATAAACTCAGGAGGTTGATAAGGGTATGCTCTAATGGATTTGGCCGTGTTGTTAGCTGTTTTACAAGCAAGATGCTGGAATACTAGGAAGCCCAAGCAGCTTGCTTGGAGTGCTAAAAGAACAAGTCAAAATTTTAATCCAGAAAAATTGTTAGTGTGTTCAGAAACAGAACTCAATGAGTCCCATCATGAGGCAAGACAGCACAACCCTAGAAGGAAAGACGATACATCTTGCAGAGTCTATCTGTAGATTCTCCATGATCTGTATAGAGAAATCAGGTGGCAAGTGATTAAAAAAATTATTATTTTCCAAGCTGGAAGATTCTAAGAAAACTCTTTTCACTCTTGTTTTGTTTTGCTTTGCTTATGTTTTAGTATGCTTTCTTCTCTTTTTTGATCTCTATTTTTATTTTTATACATACACAATATGTACAAACATTTATGGGGTACATGTGATGTTTTGTTACATGCATGCAATATGTAAAGGTCAAATCAGGTTATTTAGGATGTCCATCACCTCAAATATTTATGATTTCTATTTGTTGTGAATATTTTAAGTCCTCTCTTCTAGCTATTTTGAAATATACAATACATTGTTGTTAACTATAGTCATGCTATTCTGTTATCAAACGTTAGAACTTATTCCTTCTAACTAATTGAATGTACCTGTTAACCAACCTCTCTTCATCCTCTCACTCCTTCACATATACATCCTGTCAGCCTCTGGTAACTATCATTCTACTCTCTACTTTGGCAAGATCAACTTTTTTAGCTCACACATATGAGTAAGAACATTGCAATATTTGTCTTTCTGTGCCTGGTTTGTTTCACTTAATATGATGACCTGCAGTTCAATTCATGTTGTTGCAAATAGAATTTTATTTTTTAATGGCCTCATGGTATTACATTATGTATATGTACCACATTTTCTTTATCCATTCATCCATTGATAGACACTTAGGTAGATTCCATATCTTTGCTATTGTGCACAGTGCTGCAATAAACATGTGAGTGGCAGGGAGGTATCCCTTTAATACACTGATTTTCTTTCCTTTGGATAAATACCCAGTAGTGGGATTGCTAGGTCATATGATAGTTCTATTTTTAGTTTTCTTGAGAAATCGCCACACTGTATTCCATAATCATTGTACTAATTTACATTGTCATCAATGCATAAGAGTTCCCTTACCTCCATATTCCCACTAGCAACTATTGTATTTTGTCTTTCTAGAATAGCCATTCTAACTGAGTAGGATGATATCTCTCTGTGGTTTTGATTTGTATTTCCCTGATGTTTAGTGATGTTGAAAATTTTTTTCATATACCTGTTGGCCATTTGTATGTTTTCTTTTGAGAAATATCTATTCTGATTTTTGCCCACATTTTAGTGAAATTATTTGATTTTTATTGTTGGTGAGTTGTTTTGAGTTCCTTGTATATTTTAGATATTAGTCCCGTCAGATGAATAGTTCACAAATATTTTGTCCCATTCAACAGGGTGTCTCTTCACTCTGTTACCTGTTTCCTTTGCTGTGCAGAAGTTCAGTTCAATATAGTCCCATTTGTCTATTTTTGTTTTTGTTAGCTAACTTTTAAAGTCTTGACTGGACAAATATCCTGAAGAGTTCCCCTATGTTTTCTTCTAATACATTTATAATTATAGGTTTTACATTTAAATCTTTAATTCATTTTGAATTTACTTTTTATATGTTGAGAGAAAGGAACTAAATTTTATTCTTCTGCATATGGAGATTCATTTTTTTCCAGCACCATTTATTGAAGAAAATGTCCTTTCCCTCGTATGTGTTCTTGGTGCCTTTGTTGAAAATCATTTGGCTGTAAATAATTGAATTTATTTCTGGGTTCTCCAATCTATTCCATTGGTCTGTGTGTCTGCTTTTATTCCAATACCATGTTGTTTTGGTTACTGTAGCCTTGTAATATATTTTGAAGTCAGGTAATGTGATGCCTCCAGCTTTGTTTCTTTTGGTTCTGATTGCTTTGTCTATTTGGGCTCTTTTTTGCTTCCATGCACATTTTAGGATTGTTTCTCTATTTATTTCTGTGAAAATTATAATTCGTGTCTTGAAAGGGATCGTATTTAATTTGTAGATTGCTTTGGGTAGTATTCTAATTTTAACATTATTAATTTTTCTAATCCATGAGGATGGAATGTCTTCTCATTTGTGTCTTCTTCAATTTTTTCATCAGTGTTATATAGTTTTCCTTGTAAAAATTTTTTTAAAAAAACATTTTTGAAGAGATGGAGTCTCACTATGTTTCCCAGGCTGGTCTTGAACTCCTGGCCTCAAGTGATCCTCCCCATTCAGCCTTCCAAAGAGCTGGGAATACAAGCATGAGCAATTGTGCCCAACCAAGTTTTTTACTTTCTTGGTTAAATTTATTCCTAGGCCTTGTATTTTACTTTTTATAGCTATTATAAATGGGATTGACTTCTTGATTTCTTTTTCAGCCAGCTTATTACTGGTGTGTAGAAATGCTACTGATTTTGTGTGATTTTGTATCCTGCAACTTTACTGAATTTTTTTTATCAGATCTAAGTGGTTTTTGGTGGTGTTTTTAGTTTTTTCTCAATACAAAATTATGTCTTCTGCAAAGAGGGACAATGTAACTTCTACTTTTCCAATTTGGATGCCTTTTATTTCTTTCTGTTGCTTCATTGATCTAGCTAGGATTTCCAGTAGTATGTTGAATAGGAGTGGTGAAAATGGGCATCCTTGTCTTGTTCCAGTTCTTAGAAGAAAGGATTTCAGCTTTTCTACATTCAGTATGATGTTAGCTGTGGGCTTGTCATATATGGCCTTTATTATGTTGAGGTATTTGCTTTCTATGGCTAGTTTTTTGAGAGTTTTTCTTTTATCATTATGAAGAGACATTGCATTTTGCCAAATAATTTTTCTGTGTCTGTTGAAATGATAAGGTTTTTGTCCTTCATTCTGTTGATGTATCATATTCATTGATTTGTGTATGTTGAGCCATCTTTGCATTCCTAGTATAAATTCCACTTGACAATTGCATATTTTCTTTTTGATGTGCTGTTGGATTTGATTTGCTAGCATTTGCTGGGGATTTTTGTGTCCATGATAAACAAGAATATTGAATTGTAGCATTCTCTCTTTTTTTGTTGTGTCTCTGGTTTTGATATAAGGGTAATGCTGGCCTCATAAAATGAGTTAGGAATAGTTCTTTTCTCTTCAATTTTTTTGGATAGTTTCAAGAGAATTCATGTCAGTTCTTCTTTATAAGTTTGGTAGAATTTGGCAGCAAAGTCATCCCATCCTGGGGAGACTTTTTATTACTAATTCAACCTCATTATTCATTACTGATTTGTTTAAGTTTTCTATTTCTTTCTGATTTAATCTTGCTGGGCTATATGTGTCCAGGAGTTTATTCATTTCCTACAGATTTTCCAGTTTCTTATCACATAGCTGTTCATAATAGCCTCTGATGGTCTTTTATATTTCTGTGGTATCAGTTGCTATGTCTCCTTTTTTGTTTGTTTGTTTGTTTTTCGTTTGGTTGATTTGGGTCTTCTTTCCTTTTTTCTTAGTTCAGCTAGCAGCTTATCAATTTTGTTTACTTCTTCAAAAAGAACACTTTTCATTTTGTTGATCTTTTATATGCTTTTTAGTCTCAATTTCGCATAGTTCTGTTTAACGTACATGTATGTATAGTTTCCATAGTTTCCCTTGTTATTGACTTCTAATTATATTTCATTGTGGTATGATAAGATACTTGATATGATATTGATTTTCAAAAATTGTAAAGACTTGTTTTGTGGCCTAACATTGTGGTCTAAACTAGAGTGTTCCATGTGCTGATGAGTAGAATGTGTATTCTGCAGCTGTTTGATAAAATATTCTGTAAATATCTGTTAGGTCCATTGGTCTAAAGTGCAGTTTAAATCCAATATTTCTTTGTTGCTTTTCTGTGTAGATGATCTGTCTAATGCTAACAATGGGGTGAATGCTGAGAATAGAGTCTATCTCTTTTTTTTTCAGTCTAATTATATTTGCTTTATATATCTGAGTGCTCCAGTGTTGGGTGCATATATATTTACAATTTTTATATGCTTCTGCTAAATTTATACCTTTATAACTACGTAATCATCTTTTCTGCCCCTTTTACTGTTTTTGACTTAAAGTATCTCTTATCTGATATAAGTATAGTTACTCCTGCTCAGTTTTGGTTTCTGTTTGCATGGAATATCTTTTTGCATTCCTTTACTTTTAGTTTATATGTGTCTTTACAGATGAACTGAGGTTTGTTTGTTTGTAGACAGCATACTGTTGGGTCATACTTTTTGTTTTCTCTTACGTCCATTCAGCTGGTCTATATCTTTTACGTGAAAAGTTTAATCTGTTTACATGCAGGGTTAATATTGATATCTGAGGACTTATTCCTGTCATTTTGTTAATTGCTTTCTTTCTCTCTTATTGTTTATCATTGCAGTTCAGTGCTTTTCTGTTGTGGTAACATTTGAGTTCTTTCTCTTCTCCATTTATGCATTTGCTTTACCAGTGAGTTTCATACTTTCATGTGTTTTATTGATGGTAGATATTGTTCTTTTGCTTGCAGGTTAAGCATTTCTTGCAGGGCTAATCCAGTGGTGATGAATTCCCTCAGTTTTTGCTTGTCTGGGAAACACTTTATTTCTCCTTCATTTTTGAATAGTAACTTTCTTGGGTATAGTATGATTGACTGACAGGTTTTTTTTTCCTTTAGCACTTTGAATATATTATTCCATTATCTCCTGGCCCATAACGTTTCTGCTAAGGAATCTGCTGTTAGTCTAATGTGGGTTCCTTTATATGTGACTAGAAAATTTACTCTTGCTGCTTTTAGAATTCATTCATTGTCTTTGACTTTTGACAATTTGAACATAATGTGCATTGGAGAAGATTTCTTTGGGTGAGACCCCCAGGTGGTACATGCAGGTGGCTGCCAGCAATGGTAGTGGTGGTAGGCTAGGTGGGCCCCTCCTCAGATTTCCATAGGAATACACAGATGCCAACAGTGGTGAATGGAGCAGCACAACCCCCAGGCCTCTGCATAGTATGTTTGGCTGCTGGAAGCAAGTGTTCTGTGCCTATTGTTGAGCTCTCTGGTGGTATGCATGTTCACTCAATGTGACCAGTGGGGTAGGGTAACACCCAGACCCACAAATAGTGTGCTTGGGCACTGACAAGTGAAGAGCATTGACAGGCTGGCAAACCTGTCCTCAGGCCCCCTGGCAGTGCACATAGGTACAGGCGGTGGTGGGCACAGTGGGGCTATCCTCAGGCCCCCATGCAGTATGCTCAAAGTGGTCACAGTGGGCAAAGAGAGCCTGTCTTTAGAGCATGTGCAAGAAGGCAGGGCCCTGCTGCTGATGGGGACAGTGTTGCTGTCAATGGCAGCAGTCCCAGACAGGTGACTCTGTGGCTCTGGGAGCACATACTTTGGTTCCCTTTGACTCAGGGACAGCCTCCCTGCTGTACTTCATCACCTGTTACCCAGAGTGTAGGATACTCTTTGGGCTAGAGTGCTGGGTTCCCTATCATACTCCTGGTTCCAACTGGCATTGCACTGCTGCAGCCCTCTGGGTAGACACAAGGGAATATCAGTGAGGCTCCAGGGATGTGGAGATTCAGGGGTTGTTGGGCCCCAGGACAGGATGCAGTAGGTGGGGTTGGGCTCTCAAAATGGTACCATACTGCAGGTGCTTGTGTTTTGAGGAGTGTTTGGGACCCAGAGTGAACTTCTTCTTTAAAGCAATGCCATTAAACATTTTCCAGGCAGCTCCCTATACTAGTTTCAGCACCCTCAGTGGTCGAGAGGCCCTCCCATGGCTAGGATTGCAGGAATTCACAGTGTAAAGGTGGACTTCTGGGGACAATATATTTTACCCTTTCCCCACATGGGAAGCTTCTCCAGGCACTCAGCTGATCCCAGCAAGGCTGCTGCCTTGCTTCCCTCTCCTTTCCTGCCTTATGTGTTTTCCATCACTTCTCTGTTGAATTCTAATGTTCTCTCTTGGGTCCTCTATTCAACGTGTGATTATCTACTCACTATTTTGGTTATTTGTGGAGGAGGTGAGTGTTTTCTGCCTCTAGGCCTTGTAGCCTATCAGTGCAATGGAGGGTCTAGGTCTCTGTTCCCACAATACCTTGGACCTTCTGTTAAATAGATGTTTTCCTTTTGTTGGTGAATATTCAGTGGAATATTGTTTCCTTTTTAAGATCTTATACCAACTTAACAAGTTTCCTTTCTGGATAGTCTGCATGCAGACAGGCTGACCTCCAGAATGCTGCAGTTAGACTTTCCCAGTTATGGAGGCAGACAATTCCCAAGATCACCAGAGTGAGCTGATCAGTTGAAAACCCAGGAAAGCCTAAGATGTAGTTCCAGTGTGACAGCCAGCAGGCTCAAGACTCAGGATGAGCTGATGATTCAATTCAAGTACAAAGGCTGGAAAAGGCTAATGTCCCAGTTTGGAGGCAGCCAGGCAGGAACTCTCTTCTTTTTTAAATTAAACTTTTCATTTTGAGATGATTATAGATTCACATGCAGTTGTAAGAAATAACGTAGCAATAACTCCTGTGTCCTTTACCTAGCTATTCCACAATGGTAATGTCTGTTTAAAATTTTTTTCCTTTTTTTTTTTTGAGATGGAGTCTCCCTCTGTCACTCAGGCTAGAGTGCAATGGTGCAATCTCAGCTCAACCTCTGCCTCCCTGGTTCAAGTAATTCTCCTGCCTCAGCCTCCCGAGTACCTGGGATTACAGGCGCACACCACCATACCCGGCTAATTTTTGTATTTTTTGTACAGACAGGGTTTCATCATGTTGGTCAGGCTGGTCTGGAACACCTGACCTTGAGATCCACCTGCCTTGGCTTCCCAAAGGGCTGGGATTACAAGCGTGAGCCACCAGGCCTGGCAAGTAATGTCTTAAACTGTAGTAAAATATAACAGCCAGTATTTTGAAGTTGATTTAGTTAAGATACAGATGTTTTCATCGATACAAGGGTGCCTCATATTGCCCTTTTATAGCCACATCCACTTACCTTCCATCACCACCTCTTCTTAGCCCTTGAAAAAAGCTAATCTTTTTCCATTTTTATAACTTTGTCAGTTCAATAATTTATATACGTGAAATCTTGGGATTGGGTTTTTTCACCTAGCGTAATTATCTGGAGATTCATCCAAGTTGTTATATATGTCAATGGTTTGTTTCTTTTTATTGCTAACTAATATTCCATGGTAGGGACATACCAAGTTAGTTTAACTATTCAACTGATGAAGGACATTAAAGTTGTGTCCAGTTTCAGGTTATTAAAAAGAAAACTATAAGCAGTTGTGCATAGATTTCTGGGTAAGCATGTTTTTATTTCTCTAGGATACATGTTCCAGAGTGTAATTGCTGGGTCATATGGTAGCTGCATGTTCAGTATTTTAAGACACTGCCAAACTATTTTTCATGATCCCTGTACCACTTTACATTCCTACCAGCAATGAATGAGTGATCTGGTTTTCCACATCCTCTTCGGCATTTGGTGTTGTCACTAATTATTTTATTTAGCTACTTTGATACGTGCGTAGTAATATCTTATTGTGGTTTAATTTGTATTTCTCTAATCGTTAATGATGTTGAACATCTTTTCATGTGCTTATTTTCCATCTGCATACTCTTTTTCCGGTTTTGTCCGTTTTCGAATGGCATTTTTTTAAATGTTGAGTTTTCAGAGTTCTTTAAGTATTCTAAATAATTATCCTTTACCAGATGATTTTCAAATATTTACCATCCTTTCTCCTGCCTCAGATGGTTTTGCAAATATTTTCTCCTAATCTGTAGCTTGTTTTTTCATTCTTTTAACAGGGTCTTTCACATTTAAAAAAAGTCTTTATTTTTTATAAAATCTAATCAATGTTTGCTTACATGAATTGTGATTTTGCTGTCAAGTCAAAAACACTCTTTACTTAGACATAGATCAGGAAGATTTTCTTCTGTTTTTTCTAAAAATTTATAATTTTATATTTCACATTCAATTATGTGACCCATTTTCAGTTTTTATTTGTATAAGGAGTGAGACTTAGGTAAAGGTTTATTTTTTTAAACAATGTATGTTGAATTTCCCCAGCACCACTTGTTGAAAAGTCTATTTTGACTCCATTGAAGGTTTTTGCCCCTTTGTCAAAATCAATTGGGCATATTTGTGTGGGTCTATTTCTGAGTTGTGTATTCTAGTCAATTAATCTGTGTCTCTATTTCTTTGCCAATTACATGTGTCTTCATTACTGTAGCTATATAATAAGTCTGGAAATCAAGTAGAATGCTTTCTTCCACTGTATCCTTTTCAAAATTGTTTTAGCTATTACGGTTGTGCAACTTTTTTCTTGCCTCCATGATTTTTGACAATAAATTTTGCCATTCAATTTTTTTCCCCTCTATAGGTAAGGTGTAATTTCTCACCTGATATTATCAAGATTTTTTTGTCTTTAGTTTCAGAAGTTTATTACGATATGTCTTGGCGTGAATTCCTTTGAGTTTATTTTATGTGGGGTTTGCTTAGTTTTTTGAATCTTCAGGCTTATGTCTTTTGTCAAATTTCGGAAATCTTTAGCCATGATTTCTTTGAGAAGTTTTTAACCTTACCTCTTTCTCCTCTCCTTCTGAAACTCTAATGGCATGAACATCAATTTTTTATAGTCTTATAGATCCCTGAGGCTCTGTTCATTTTCCTTTTCCTGTCTATTTTCTCTCTGCTCTTCAGAATTTAGGTCATTTGTATTGTTCCGTCATTAAGTTTAGGAATTCTTTCCTTTTGCCTTTTATTCTGTTATTGAGAATTTTTAATTTCAGTTTAGAGTTTTTATTATATTTTTCAGTTCTAAAATTTCCATCTGCTTCTTCTTTATATTGTCTACTTATTTCCAAGAATTTGTTTCTTTGCTGTGTCTTTATTTTTTTCATTGTTTCATGTGTGCTTATAATTGCTCATTGAAGCATTTTTTCATGATTGCTTTAAAATCTTTGTCAAGTAATTCTAACATCTCTTTCATCTCTGTGTTGGCATCTATTCATTGTCGTTTTTCCTTCAGTTTGATATCTTCTGGGTTCTTAGTATAACAAGTAATTTTCAACGGAATCATTGACATGTTGGGTGTTCTATCATGAGTAAATTTTTCTTAAACCTTGTCTTTCAGCTGACTTCTCTGGCAGTGCTCTAACAGGAAAATGAGAGTGCTGCCTTATTACTGCCATGTTGGGATAGAAATTCAATTCTTCACTCACCTTGCTTTCACAATTAATGTGGGCAATATGCTTCATTATACTCCATTACGGCTGGGTGTGGGTCGGCATTCTGGCTCTCCACTATGTCTCCACTGATACCCTCCTGGCTGGCGGGGGTTGGAGTGCCTCCTTCCTGCCTCCCACATGGCTTCCACTCACACAGAGTAGGTGGGGAAATCTCATTACTCCTTGATGAAAGTCATGACTTTCCACTATTCCTGCTCTAAAGCCTTCCTGGTGGAGAAATGAGGAATGGTCAGAAATTTCCCTACTTCTGGTTGAGTGTGGCGCTCTAGGCCATGTAGTCTCTGCCTATACTGCTTGGGGAGGTGTTACTGTTTGCTTCATATATGTTGTCCAGGGATTTAGTTTTATTTAGTGGAAAGAATAGGGAAAAGTGTATCTACTTCCCAGAAGTCCTCCCACCTGATGCATTCTGCTTTAATGTCATCTGAAGGTCTGCACTTAAGCATGGCTTCCCATGATTTTGAATTAAAGTCTGTTTCCAAAAAAAAAAAAAAAAAAAAGAAAACTGTGTCTCCCACCCATGGTTTATATGATACCCAAATCTTTCTAAATCAATTTCAAACATTTGTCTTTTCTGTCAGGCAAACCATGTATCAGCTGCTCTAGAAAGGGTAGTAATTCAACCATTAAGAGGTACTCACATCTGAGGACTAATCAGTTGATCAGATCAGTTAATTTCCAACTGTTCCAAACAGCTTTGAACTTGAGGATCTAAGTGGAGAGCAGGCGTAACAACAAAGCATTTTTTAAAATGCAAAAATTATTATACTTAATAAATTTTTTAGAAAGTTAACTTAAAATTAAAAATACAATCAAAATAAAATTAACAATTCAAATGTAAATATTATGCAAATATTTTCATGATTCCATGACTTCCTGCCTTTGGAGATTGAGTTTGGGAAAGCTTTAGTTTACTTTGATGTAACAGGAGAATTATCTAGGAAACTTTACTTAATTAAGAAATCCTTTATGTATCACCTTTTCTAGTTAGTGAATGCTTTCACCATTTACAAAACATGTTGAAGAGAGAGCATATATTTAGCAAGATTATGGTTTCAAAGGGAAATGTTCTCTCCCCACAAAAAAACTGAATAATTTTAAAGACTAAAAATTAAAAACAGCTACAACAAAACAATAGTAGCATTAAAAAAATCATAGGTCATTCAACTAAAGAATCCAAATTACTTTTTTTGGTAGCTTATAAATTCCTTAAAAATTTTAGTAGCTTATAAATTTCTGAAAATTTTCAGAAAAAAAATGGATTCAGTGATTCACTTTTTTTTTTTTTTTTTAGTTTACACTTTTAAAATTCCAGAGCCTCATCAAATCCCCAATACTTATATCTTACTTTAATCAACTATATGCCAGGATAAAATTAACTTTTCAAGGGGTAATTTTACCTTAAAGTTAGTTTCAACTTTCTGACCTCAGCATTCCACCAAAATGTTTATTTTTTATTCCTAAAAAACTACAGTTTCAGGAGAAAACATTCATGTAAAATACTTTTTCTTATACCAAATAGGCTTTTATTTTTTATTTTTAAGAAAAGGCTGAAATGAATGTTAGATTTTACTATTTATAAGAATTATTTTCTAATCTGTCAGGTTTACTATTTGTTTTTTTTTAACTTTAAAATGGGGCATTTTTAATAAAAATAATGAAGGGAGACCAGGATCTAGTGACTAGTTCTAAAGAATCTTTGCTGCTATGTGGCAAACATTTAAATGCTAATGGCAACACAGACAGGTAGATGCACTGTGCCACCAACAGTGTTATCTATAGGAAGGAAAATGCTTGTCATTGGTGACCTCTACCTTGTTCTCTTTGTTCTCTTTAGGTCTCATAATCCACATTCTTTTGGCAGCATTTGAAAATACTAATGATCTTCTTTTCCTCCTAGACATTCTCTAACTACCCTGACACATTTCATTCTCTTGGTTCTTTTCTTACCTCTCAGTTTTGAGAGGTTTTCGTGTTGTCTTCATGCTTTATTTTCATCCTGGAGAATCTGTTCTTGTGGTCTCCATGTCTCTCACATTCAATATGTTTTTTAAGTCTTATTTATCATTTTTTAATAAAAAATGTATTTTCATGGTTCACAAACAAAAGTCACAAGGTGTATACTGACAAGATTCTCTTCCAATCTGTCCTTATTTTTCCCATTTTTCCTTTCCATCATGTATGACTACCTTTATTAGTTTTGTATATTTCTTGTCTTTTTTTTCAGATGCCAGCAAATAAAATATATATTCTACTTTCCCAAACTTTTTTACACAAAGGTTCATATACTTCATGCAATATTCTGCTCCACGCCTTTTTTTTTTTTAACTTAACTATATATCCTGGTAATTGTATTATATTGCTACCTCTCCAAAAACTGCATAATGAGTCCTTTTGTTATTATATCCTAGTTTATCTGACCATTCCTCTACTGATGAACATTTCATTTGTTTCCAATATATTGCTCTTGCAAAATCACTGTAATTGATAACATATATCATTCCAAATATGTAGGGGTGTACAATGAAAGAGCGGGCCAATGGCTCGCTTTTCTTCTTCTATAAGCCCTAATAATTTATCACTCTTAATAAAACTCCAGGCTGCAACTTATCTCTGTTTTCAAAATGTATACCTTATATATATATATCTTGTACTCTAGAATGTGCCCAATTTTCTCTCTCAAAATACCAACTACTTTCTAGATATTGCTACTTGAACATTCCATTGGCATTTCACATTTGTCAGTTATCAAATTTAATTCATCCTTTTCTTTTTTCATTATCAAACCTGGTGCTTCTGTTGTTGCTGGGCATGTGTGAGATTTTATCTACTATCTAGATGTTATGTGTGTATGCATTTTTAATATTTTCTTTTAATTCCTCTTCCTTAACTGCAAACTTTGTTTGTTTGGTTAAACTCCTCATTTTCTCTTCAAATCTTTTTTTTGTTTGTTTTATTTTGTTTCCATTCTGTTCTGCAACAGCATGAAATCTGCATGGTGGTCATTTCCTAGACTTTTCACAACCTGTCTTTTTCTTTATCTCGGGGCTGAGCAAGACTGTAATGGAATAAAGCGGTCTGATGCTTTAAAGTCAATATGAGCTAAAATGTGATGACTTCACATTTAGTAAATTAGATGTCTCTCTGTTACCAGGAGTTTAAAATATCCATAAAAAACAAATTTCTCACTCATAGACACTACTCAATTAAATGACCAGTACTAAATTAAACTTTTTGCCTTTTCAGTTTATTTTGGCTCTTGTGTCATCTGTTAACTCGAAAACACATTTAATTAACTTTTGGCCATACATTTAATGGTTGGCACATTATTTCACTGCTATAAAATGCTATGAAATAAATAATTGTTATGGAATTAATGGGACAATTCAAATGATAGAGCTACCAGGTACCTTTAATTTTCACTGGGAATGTTAAACTTTCAAGAAAACCATTAATTCTGGCCATCATGTTGAGTTTTGTCTATTTTGTTCTGTTTTACTTATTGAGTTCCAAATAACCAAGATCAACTTTTTACAACAATCTACTAAATTTTAATGAAATTACCTTAGTTTTTTTAGTTAGACTGAGCCTTTGTCCAAAATCAGAGGCATATCTAAGCCTTCTTGAAGAAAGTAATGACCATAATGATTTTGCCTAATTTTATCTACTTGCAACACTTCACCTGTATTTGTCATTTTGTAGAAGTCAGATCTCCTTCATCACTTGCTCTTTGCAGAGTTAATTTGAAAAGCATGAAATATCTAGAGGTAAAACTACAACATACATATCCCATGCTGTGTACAAAGTAGATTGTATCTCAAACTTTCTGATACAGTGATCTCTGTAGAAAAGAATATGAAAATAAAAACATAAATTGATTAAACAGAGATAACTAAAAAGGTTTAAACAATGTTCAAGAATACTCTAGTTACTTTGTAGCTATCTAAGATAGCATCAGCCAACTAGATGTGAATTTTGAGAACAGAGGGCAACTCTGATAAAATAGGCTTTTTCTGTTTTAATGTAGTGGATGTTGGTTTCTGATTCTAAAATGGATAGTTCTGTTTACGATAAAACTTCCACCAGGAACAACTACATCAGTAATATATTTAACAGCATTCTTTTTATTATTGGATATCAGAGAAGCTAACTTGTCAGTAATAAGGGATTGAAGATCATGTGTTTCCAGCAATTTTAATAATATGGGGTATATATATTTTCGGAAAATCATCTGCCTATGGAGAAGTGAAATATTTAGCAATATTAAAATACTTACATTTGATCTCTTTGACTATCAAAAATAAACAAATCCCAAATTCTGCCATTTGGTAAAATTCACTAGGTAAAAGTCACATTCCTGATAAATATATACACACACATAAACCAGTGTGTGTGTGTGTGTGTGTGTGTGTGTGTGTGTGTGTGTGTTGGCTGACCAGTTTTCAGCTTAAAAACAGTTCAAGTTATAACTGGTTTAAAAGTACAGATACCTCCTCTATGACAGCAGTACAAACAATCACAACATTGTGTATTAGGTGCACACAATGCACCTAATAAAAAAGTAATTTTGATAAAAATACTATACTAAATCAATTCTTATATTGGTCAGTTACAATGAGGGAAAATAGTACCACCACAATTTTAAAATGACAGTGCTACAGCAAACCAGTCATAATATGCTTGAGTTACTACTGAAAGCAATAGATTTAGAGTATTAAGAAAATACATGCTTTCTTAAGTGCTGTGAATTATACTGAATAATCCTGAACACCTCTTTTACTGAACTAATGAAACAAAGTAGAGCTTATTGCCTTCTCTATAATCAGTATGTGCAAAAATGTATATGGAAATACAGATTCAGCATATATGCTACACCATTCTCAGGGATAACGACTGTTACGCAGCATTCAGTTTAATGGATCAAAAAAACCTCAATTTTGCAATTCAAGACCACTTCTAATTTGGTAAAGGGCCTAAAAATGTGGTTTGGAAGACTGTAGAGACTGGACTGGGCTTGGTGTGCTATTTAAATTGAATTTATAATCTGTTTAGAGTTTGCAAAATTAAGCTAAATGTACACATTTCGCAGCACTTGATCTTTTGAATAACATAGTATTTTGGGGGTATCCTCCCTTTTTCTCTCCCTCTTAAAACCTGGAAGACATGAAGCAAAATATGTTTAACAGGAATTAGTTCTTTCAGGCTTACAATGAAAGAGCTGCAAGATAGTAAATATTTGTGCGGTAACTGAAAAGTACTTGCTAATTGTAGAAAATTTGAAAAATAACAGAAAAATGGAAATAGGGACATTCAAATTGTATACAAATATACTACCTAGGTAAACAAATGTAAACATACATAACCCAAAATACACATGAATAAACACACACACACACATACATATACATGCAACAGAACTTACAAATATAAGATCAAATAACATACAATTTCCTTCCAGTTTAAATAAAACACACAGTTTCCCCCATAATACGATAAAACCCATCACTTTCTAATATTTACATCTGGGGTGTCTGTTTGGTGGAAATACTATATAATGAGGTAGTATGGTGTGTCTTTTAGCAACTTCATATTAGCAGTTTGAAATCAGCTATGGTGGGATCATTTCACTACAGCAATACAACAAATACTACAAACCAGAGTCTGAATTATTGTTTTGCAGTTAAGTCTCAATAAAGCAATGGAGAAAATATTAATAATGCAGGTTTACATTTAAAATATGTCACATCTTTAGTGGTTACATTATGAGTAGTAGTAAACTTTGATCAGATAATTCATCTACTCCACTATTTAAACAATTGATCATCCTATGTAAACAAGTTGCTTTCTTATTGAGTGACATTCTGACTTTTGTCCTTTTTTTACTCTTGTCTTACTCATTAACTTTAAATTTAAATATCAGCCAATAACAGCCAGTTGTTAAAATTTATTAGCCTACTATTGCCCATCTCCCACACTTACACACTAACCATTACCGAATATTAATAATTCTAAAAATCATTTACTCCTTGGCAAATTAAAAGTAAAATGCCATTGCTGAGTAATTTTTATGTATTTATTGGATATCTGAATTTTTGTGTATGCACAAATTATTTGCTTCTATTATTGTTGCACATTTCTCACTATAATGCTTACTATATTAATTTGTGATAATATATTAATTTGTAAGAGCTCATTTGATATTAAGAATGGTAACTCCTGAATGTTTGATAAGAATAAATTTTTCTCAGTTTCCTCTTTGATATTTAATATTTATGGTATTTTTGATACAAAGTTTCTGCCTTTTTGAATGTGTGGAAAGCATTTTCCTATTCCACAGTCATTCAATATTCATCTGTGTTTTCTCCTTATGTTATATGATATTCATGTTATGTTTAATTTTTCAGTATATTTAGGATTTACATCAATATATATTTTTTCTTCAATTTTTTCCTGATTCCATGTATTGAATAAGCAGTTCTTCTTTTATTATTCTGTGATCTTTCCTTTTTCATTAGCTAAATTCTTATTTTGATTAGAATTAATTTTAGAGCTATTTATTAGACACCATTGATGCATCTGCTAATTTTGGCACAAATGAAAACATTACCTTAAAATCTACTAGAGAAAGTTTCAACTCTGTTCTTTTCCAGCCTATTCTTAGTGGTTTCTTCCTGTTTCTTTCTCTAGTTGTAATACTGAATATTTTTTATCTATTTGAAAAATAAAGTATTCATTGAGACACCAAAGAACTATTTTTAAATATATTAGATTGGCATCTTTGCAATATTTAGATTATTCAACTAGGATAGAGATGAACACATCTGTAAGGTATTCTTTATTCCTGCTACAATAACCAGCATCACAATTATTTATTGAATGTGCACTGTGTGGCAGTCACTAAGCAGAGCAATGAAAAAACATCATCCTCTCCTGGAGCTTTCGTTATTCTGGGGGAGAAAGATTATAACTTTTTAAACAATTATATGACACGTTAGGTGCTATAAGAAAAAACAAGATAAGTGGCCAACAAGTAATTGTGGGGAAAGGGATTTTGTTTAAGTATTATTTCTTGATGCATACACACACATGCATGTATAAACACACAGACATTTATACCTACACATACACAAACATAACAAACACATTTTTTGTGGAGAAAACTCTATAACTTACTTTGCAATTGGTTATTGGCATTGTGAAGGTAAATATTTCTATGTGTGCTTATCTTTTATCTGGCTATTTTCTCATCTAATAATAAATTTTCACTTGTTTCTACTGATTGTTCTATGTCGTAAAGATGACATCTATAAATAATTAACACAATTGTGCTCTATCATTGATTACACTTTTAATTCTGGTTTCTAATCACATGACTTGTTCAGAAAGTGTTCAGAAATAATGATGGCAGGGGTCAGGGTTTTTTTTCCTCAATAAACTTTTTGATGACCTTATTTGGTATTTATTTTTAAGTATTATGTTTGCTGTCAGTTTTAGACATAGTTGTTTATTTATGGTAAAGACATACACATTCTGTTCTGCCATAATACCACAGTTGCCTTCCTAAGAAACCTTATGATTTTATAGATTCCATTACTTAAACAATTATTTCAATTTAAAAGCAGTACTTACTGGTTAAACATTTTTCAGATTTAAATTAGTGTTTCCTACACTGAAGGATTACTAATAATAATTACATAAATATAAATGCATACTTATAATACATGAGCATCACAAAGAAAATCCTGACATTACTTACATCTGGCTTTTGTTCCAGTAAAATCTCTTTAATTTTCTATCACTTCATGAATGTATTTCTTATACATTTCCATCATGTTTATTATTTTTCCTCCTCACTGTTTCAGCAACAAAATCTATTGACACTAAAATTTAGCTATTGTGGGTACACTTCTTATCTTCCTACCTCTCTGCCTTCCCCTATTTATCCCTTCCTCCCTCCCTCTCTCTTCTTCTCTTTCTTTTCCCTCCCTCTCTCCCTCCCTCCCTTCCTCCCTTCCTCCGTTCCTCCCTTCCTCCCTCCCTTTCTCCCTTCTTCCTTCTTCTCTCCCCCTCCCTCTCTCCTTGCTTCCTTTATTCCAATATAGCATTGTTTTTCTCTGGGTGCTTGTGTTAATTCCTGATCACATGATAGTAGAGCCTTGCAAGTTTGGGAGAATAATTATTTGTAAGATTTGTCTGATCTTAAAATCTTTCTTTGAGCTAGCACATAAAGTTTTCATATATTTTTCTATGCAATTGGCTTTTTTCCTACTTTTTAGTTTCACATAAAATCTTCTAAATGAGAAGTAGTGCAGTGTAATGGTTAGGACAGAGACTCTAGAGCCAGATTTTTCTTCTAATTGCAGTTCTGCCACTTACCATCTGTTTAACCTTGAAAAAATTACTTAACGTCTCACTGCCTCAGTTTCCTTATGTAAAATCTTCCTTTCTTATGTTGTTTTACCTGAGAATTAAATAGTTTAATTCAAATTCATTTAAAGGGTTAGAACACTGTATGAAACTAGGTAAGCACTCAAAATATGTTAGCTATTATTAACTATTTCTCAAAATCCTCATAATTGCTGGAACTCATGTGTTTTGATTTGCTATGTCTTACTCTCTTCAAAAATAGTAACTTCTTCATCTTGTTAGTATTGTATAAATTTACAGTATAGAAATGAGATATTTATTAATTTTTGCAGTGTATTATTTCCGCCTTCCCTTGGCCTTCAGTCAGTTTATATTTTGAAGTAGAAAGCATCATGAATTGTTCTCACTTATAAGTGGGAGCTAAATGATGAGAACACATGGACACAAAGAGGGGAACAACAGATACAGGGGCCAATTTGAGGGTGAAGGGTGGGAGAAGATAGAGGATCAGAACAAAGGACTATTGGGTATTAGGCTTAGTACCTGGGTAATGAACTATTCTGCACAACAAAGCCCTGTGACATGAGTTTACCTATATAACAAACTGCACATATAACCCTGAACCTAAAATAGATGTTAAAAAAAGAAAGCATCATAAATTCATAGTTTTAATATTTTCAATGCAATAGCCCTATCTTTGTTATTTTTTAAATTACATGCGATTTACTGACTTATTATTTATTGTCCTGATTTTTCTAGAATTCTATTTATTGATATTAATATTGCCATTTAAAATTTTTGTTTGATTGGTATATTTTTACCCAATATTGTTTTTATACACCTCTAGTTACTGTGGCATCTTTTAGGAGTGGGTAGCATATACATGGCCTTTTATTAATGTCAAACACAGATGTTTTGAGCTTTATCCATTTACATTTATTGTAATAATTGGTATGTTTGCTATATTTTTATAATTCTTAATATTTGTTAATGTTTTATTTCCTTTATTTTTTAGAGATAAGGGTCTTGTATATTGTATTATGAGAAATGTATCTTAGTTTTAATCTTATCCAATAATATTATTTCTGTTTTAACATGACTTTTGTTCAATTTATTGTTAACATTTAAATAACACAAGACTATATTTCTATGTAGCAGAATTAAGAATGAGATTATTTCACCATTTACTTTCAAACCGTTTGATTACTATTTTGATTATATCCATTATATCTTTTAAAGAACATGTGGTTTTATTTTTAAATCCAATCTAAGCATGACTGACTTTTCTCAGATAATTCAATCTATTCACTTCACATTTATTGTCTATTTATTTTGTTTGCATTTTCTGAGTTTTTAAATTATTGCATTTTGAATTTTTAATTTTCTCTTTTTTCTTTGCATTTCAGTTCTCCTAGTGTTTGCAAATAATAATTTTAATTTATTTTCTAATAGTTTTCTCTAAATGTATGAATACAATTTGAACTAAATGTTCAACTAAAAATTTATATCAACTTTTGTTTCCTCGCTTAAGAGAGTAACATAATCCAAACTTGACATCCTGTAGTAAAAAACAGCTAGACAAAATACATGAAGTAACTATTTTTAGACATTGGTTTATAAGCAGAGTTGGACTGTGATTTCAAAGAGAAGGTAGAAACAAATGAGGTTAGTCCTGTCATTGCCTCAGCTTTCTGTCTGAAGCCAGTTTCCAAAATGGGCCACAAGGAAGGGTAATCTCAAACAGTACCCAGAGATTTCACTGAGTTGAGGAGACAGATTAGTATTCAGTAATATGGAGGAGGCTAAAATTTGAGAGGAAAAGTACTAGAAAGAAGCTGACTATAAAAAGAAAAAGATTCCAAAAGCTGCTTGGTATTCCTTTGAATCCTCGGCTGAATACTAATCTGTACATGCATACCATAAAACTCCATGAGGCCAGACAAAAATTAACTTGTGGAAGAAGAATATTACTAGAGAACTATAAGCAGAAATATTGTAAAAACTCACACAGGGCTGAGAATTATTCAAGTTTTCCTTTGCCAGAATGGAGATATCAGTGGATTAAACATAGTAATAGCAAAAGCTGCTGTGGCAGGTAGAACACTGGCCTCCAAAAATGCCGATGTCTTAGTTTCTAGAATCTGTGAATATGTTACCTTACAAGGCAAACAGAAACTTTGTGAGTATGATTAAGTTAAAGATTCTGAGATGGGGAGATCATCTTGGATTAGACACACATAAGCTCAATGCAATCACCAGAGTTCCTTTTTTTTTTTTTTCCAGACGGAGTTTCACTCTTGTCCCCCAGGCTGGAGTGCAATGGCGCGATTTCGGCTCACTGCAACCTCCACCTTCCAGGTTCAAGCAATTTTCCTGCCTCAGCCTCATAAGTAGCTGGGATTACAGGCGCCTGCCACCACACTCGGCTAATTTTTGTATTTTTAGTAGAGACAGGGTTTCACCATGTTGGCCAGGCTGGTATCAAACTCCTGAGCTCAGGTGATCTGCCCACCCTGGCCTCCCAAAGTGCTGGGATTACAGGCTTGAACCACCACACCTGGCCCACAAGCATTCTTTAAGTGAAAGAGGAGGCATTACAGTTTAATCAGAAAACAAACAAACAAAACAAACTGAAAGATGCAAGGCTGCTGTCTTTGAAAATGGTCACAAGCTAAGAAAGAAGATGGCCTCTAGAAGTTAGAAAAAGTAAGAGAACAGATTTTCCCCTGGAGTTTCCAAAAGGAACACAGACATGTTCACACTTTGATTTTAACTTATTAAAACCCATTTCAGAGTTTCAACCTCTGGAAGAAAATAAGCACTGTGTCTTCTAGGCCACCAAACTTTGGTAATTTATAATAGCAGCAATAGGTAACTAATACAGCTACTCTATACTCGGCATTGCAACTCAGAACAGATAACAGACATTTTTCAAAAATTGTGCAAGCTGATTGTTTAAATATAACCATCTTTAAAAATTAAGTTACATAAACTACACTTAAATAGATTATATTGAAGCCAAAGGAAAGAAATACAAAAAGTGTTATTATCTTTTAATTACCTTAATATATTTTTTCTGTTATCAATCCTCTTGACATTATTTATAGCTGTTGTCTGTATATGATGAAAACACTATATAATGGCATATGCTCCTGCACATCTTTTTGCAACTCTGCTTTCAGGGATGTCACTTTAGAAGCTTAAAATGTGCCATGACAGAAATATTTACTCTATGGAATGCTGAGGACATTAGGGCTGATATCTGATTCCTGGGTGATAGCTTTCAAATATATATAGAAAAAAATTTTCAAATAATTTAGATTTTCAAAAAATTTAGATTTTCAAAAAATCTAACATTTTTTGAGGTCACACTCACTATAATATTTTAAATTCACAATTATATTATAAAACACATCAATATCTCTCACAAACATACACCTAGAAATCTTTAAGATATTATTAGCAAATCAAATCAAGCTAAATTTTAACACAAAAATGCGATTTTGAATTACCATTCAAATATCAATGAATATAATTTATCATACTCACAGAATAAAATAGACAACAAATTATTATCTCAATAGATACAGAAATAGCACTGGACAAAATTCAACACTCATTTATTATAAGACCCTTTAGAAACTAGATATAGAAGGCCACTTCCTTAGCCTGAAAGAGCATCTATTGAAAAACAAAACAAAACAAAACTATGCTATCATACTTCACAGGGTCAGATGAAATGCTTTCTCCTTAAGATTAGGAACAAGCCAAGAAGGTCCACTCTTACCACTCCTATTCAGCGTTCAATTGGAGGTCTTAGCTAGTGCAACAAGATAAGTAAAAAATAAACAATATGAAATCGGAGAATAAGTATTGCTGTCTTTATTCATAGATAACTTAATGGTATACATAGAAAATCCTAAAGAAACTATAAAAAAATTGTTATTAGAACTAATAAGTGAGTTTAGTAAGATCTCAGGACATTAGACTATTACGCAAAACTCAATTTTTATTTTATATAATTACACCAAACAACTGGAAATTGAAATAAAATAATCACTTTAAATACTATCCAAAGGCTTGAAATACATAGAGATAAATGTAAATAAGTTTTGTTCAATGAAAACTACAAAATTCTTGCTAGGGAAGCTGAGGCAGGAGAATGGCCTGAACCCGGGAGGCGGAGCATGCAGTGAGCCGAGATCACGCCACTGCACTCCAGCCTGGGTAACAGAGCAAGACTCTGTCTCAAAAAAAAAGAGAAAACTACAAAATTCTGCAGAGAGAAATCAAGAAAGACCTAATTAAATGAAAAGATATGCCATATTCATAAATTGAAAGACAATATGTTTATAACCCGTGCAAATATGGTCAATCAATTACCAACAAATCTGCTCAAACAATTCAATAGGATACATAGTTTTTTCAACAAATTGGATACCCACACTGAAGAAAAATAAACTTTGACTATTCTCTCATACCTCTACAAAACCTAAAATGTAATCTAAAACAAAATATAATGATGAAGGTTATAAAACACTTCTCAAAACAAAGAAAATCTTTCAAAGTTGGAGTAGACAAACATTTCTTAAAATAGAAAAATCATGAATCATGAAAGAAAAAATATTTAGACCTCATTAAACTAAAAAAGTTCTGCTTTACAAAAGAAGCCCTTAAGAAAATGAAAATATTTATAATTAATTTAGTTGACAAACAAATTAAATTAAAAATACATAAGAAACTCTTTCATTCTTAAAAATACCAAACTGCCCAATTAAACTGAGCAAAAGATTGGATTAAACACTTCACCAAAGATGATATGATATATGTATGGCCAATGAGCCATACTGTAACAGATGTGTATGGTCATACTGTAACAGATGTGTAGATCCTAAATCCTCATTAGAATGGCTATATTTAAAAATACTGATGATACTAAGTGTTGATGAAAATGTGGAGCAACCAGGACTCCCATATATTTCTGGTGAGAATAAAAATGTTGAAACCACTTTGGAAGAAAGTTTGGTATGTTCTAAAACAGCTAAATACATAGGATACCTATAATCCACCACTTGTAGCCATTGGTAAAACTGTGTCCTCCTCTTATGAAAATGACCACATGCTTTCACACCTTTACACAGAAGCTTTGAATATTATAATAGCCCTAAGACAGGAATCAACTCAAATGCCCATCAGGAGGGGAATGAACAAATTGTGGTATATCTATACAATGGATTATTATTCAGAAATAAATATAAACACATCACTGATAGATGCAAAAACATGGATGAATTTCAAAAACATATGCTGGTCAAAAGAAGCCAGACATAAAAGAGCACACACACTGTATGATTCAATTTATGGGGAACTGTAGAAAAGGTATCAAATCTCCAGTAACAGAAAATAGGTCAGTGGTTTCCTGGAGTTAGATGTATGAGTGGAGGTTCGAAAGGGACAAAATGAACATATTTTGTAAAAGAAATATTCTACATCTTTATTGTGGTGGTGGTTGCACAGGTGTTTATCAATTCTCAAAAAATACACTTAAAAGGGAACACTTTATTGCATGTTAATTATACCTCAATAAAATTGACTAAAAAAATTTAATTAGTATCTGTAATTTCTTCCTCAACGAAGACAGTATTATTTGCATCCCCGTCCCCTCTTTTTTAATTTTCTTCATTGTTCAGCTTTATGGAAACAATTTGGAAATTCTTTCCCAGATAGTAAAACTGTTTTCATGTTATGCCTATCCTTATTTAAAACTGACAATTAATAATTGTGACATTGTATTAGTTCATTTTAATACTGCTATAAAGAACTTCCCTGAGACTGAGTGATTTACAAAGGAAAGAGGTTTAATTCACTCACAATTCCACGTGGCTGGGGAGGCCTCAGAAAACTTACAGTCATGGAAGAAGGAAAGCAGCCACCTTCTTCACAAAGTGGCAGGAGAGAGAAGAGCAGGGGAAACCACCACTTATAAAACCATCAGGTCTTGTGAGAACTCACTCACTATCATGAGAACAGCATGGGGCAAACCACCCCCATGATCCAATCACCTCCCACCAGGTCCCTCCCTAACACATGGGGATTATAACTGAAGATGAGATTTGGGTGGGGACACAGAGTCAAATCATATCAGACATTAAATATTCTTTAGAGTTAATTATAACTTATATTGATTGATATCTGGCTGTTATTGTCCCTTGCAGTCTGAATCTACATTATTATTTCAGTTTTAAGTAATATCAAGTAGTATCAGTTCAACTTTTCAGCACCCCTATTTATTTTGTTTCATGACTGTGTTGTTTTATATTTTATTTTTCTCGTGTGCTTGAGGTTCATATCAGCATACATTTGCTTTATGTTTGTAATGAATCGTTGAATCTTTCTAGGGACATACATTTAATTATTTTATTTCCTACATTACATCTGTTTTCTTAGGATATATTTTCTGTCATGGTTCAGCCTGATTACTCTTAATTCTATTGTTTGTTTTATAATTTTTAAAACATTTTCCCCAAATTATAGTTGTTCTTACTCATCTATTTTGTGGATATTTGTAATAAGGATCTAAAGTGATCACTACTATCCATTGCAGTGCCTTCCTCAATAAAACTAAATATTTACTGTCTAAGATAGGTAAATACAAAATTTCATTAACAGCTCCCAAGCCATGATATACATATGGGGAAGGATGCATCTGGATGCCTGCCTTGTGGCTTTAGTAGTCCCTTGCTCAGGAAGCATGAGCAAATTACCAGATGGGGTACTCTTGTTGTTCTGAGAGTCAGTCTTAGGGCTTTTGCTTAGGTTAAAGGCTGAATTCCTTGAGAAAGGGCCAAATGGTGTTGTTTGAGATAAAAAGTATGCATATTCACTAAAACAAATATTGTGCTTCTAGAAGCATATCTTCCAAAAATACTATAGGTATACAACGATGTATGTTCAAGAGTGTATACTGCATCATTAATTTAATAATATCTATCTAGAGACAATCTATAATTTATTATAAAAAATGGTTAAATTATCAAGATTACATATTTAAATATGTACATGTTCTTAAACTTAGGTATATCTAGTGAATAAGAATGTCTATTATAGCTTTCTGAGTGCAGAAAACCAATTGTAAAATAGTATGTCTATTATATAATTTTGTAGAAAATATTTATAAAAACAATTTTGAATTTCATATGTAATATATAGGTACAATATCAAAAGATACAGATATTATACTCATTCTCTCCCTATATATATATTATATATATACACACACACACACACACATATACATTCTCCTATATTCTACCTAACTCTTTATAGTTCTTGAAAATACAAACCACACTAGTTTTTTGTGGTTACATCGTTTACATGACAGGGGGTATAAGTGGGGAATCTGCTACTTAAATTATACACATATTTATGTTGCTTATTTTCCCAAATGAATATGTCTTTTAGTAATTAAGAAATTATTTTAAAAGACAAAAACGGTATTTTTAAACTCTACTAATAACTTGGGGAAATTAGTAAAATTTTACTCTCAATTTCTTTTTAGAATTTGTTCCTTATAATTTTAGACTTAGATTAATATCAATTATTATATTTTGCATCACATTTTTTCTTTCAAAAATATTTCTGACTCCTGCATTACATTTTGTAGTTAGTTATAGTAGCATGAATTACTTTTTGACTCATAATCATTGCAATACTGATTTCAGTGTTCAGAATTGTAACATTTAAGAAAAATCCAATATCCTATTTCCCTTTCATGACTTTGTAATCTTGATTCATCACTCAATTGCCTGAAATAGGTCTCCAATAAGTCTTAAATAATTTTTTCCCAAGAAGTAAAATGGATGCTAAATTTATCCTCCCCAAATATCTGAGAATGAATTTTTTTCACCTATTAATATAAAATTGAAATGTTATTCAAATTTTAATCACAAATATTTCCCCAAAGATTGCTGTAGACTTTAAAGTGCAGGGCCTCATGTTGTTCAATAATGTGAAGGAGAAGTCTCAGGCAAGACTTAATTTTGTTTATCTGTAGGTAACCTATTTTTTTTTTAGCTTGGATGTTTGGAGATGTTTATAAACTCTAATTTAAACTTTAGCTATAATAATGCTTCTAAGCATGAAGTGTTTCCTGTCTAAAAAACCATGCTTTTCTCTTTTTAAAAACATTTTGATTATTGCTTCTGATATATATTTTTCCTAGTCTTTCTCTCTCTCTCTCCCAAAAATATTAGTTTCCATGTTTGTGTCATCTTTTTTCCATCAACTTCTGTCATAAATTTTTATTTCCCTATTATTCCAAAAAAAACTTTTAAAGTTTGCTTCCTACATAGTAAGCCAGTTTTCTGCTTTAATATCCACAGTCCAGATTTTAATTTAACTATTGTTAATTTTAGTTTACCGATTATCTTTTCTTATGTTACTCATCTCATGTTTTACCTTATCTTACTTTCTTTACAACTCAGTATGATTCTTATATGACTCTCTGTTCTCTTGATTGACATAAATCACGTATTCCTGCCTATTGTTTCAATACCAAATAGTAGCCTAACATTTTTTGCGGGTTCTGAAATTGGAAATGATAGAATCATACTCAGTATTTTTCTAACAGTTGATATATACAACTTTCTTAATTACCACTTATATTTAAATATCACTAAAATCCCATTCTCAATCTATGCCTGTAGAACAGATTTTAAGCATGTCTCTGCTGGACTGAGTTAGGTTTGTCTCCAGCATTCATTGCATGATTCACTGACATGAAACCAGTTAAGTTCAAATAACCTACAATTATCAGTATTTCCCACCAACAAACATCCTCCTGTCACCGCTCCTATCCACAGTGCTAAATTTATTGTGGTTATACCTCAAAGATAAAATAGATTTCCATCAGCATCTCCCTATTTCTTGTCTTTTTGTTTTCTGGGGATTTACTTTCTGAATTGTAGGGGAAATTTAAACATGAAAAATTAGAAACAATAATTTATGTCGAAATAAGATACCTATGGAGCAAAGCTTTCTTAGGGCAGGGCTATCTGCTTCCAAGACAAGCAATGATAGAGGGAGAAATTATATTTCTCTTTTTTATCAGGCCTATAGGATCCTTGTTTTAGCACCATATGCATAATGGCAAATTGTGCTGTTTCATACAACTACATAGATTTTGTGGGTAGTAAAATATTCTCCCAACTTTTGGCAATAGCTTACTTAACTTTTTTTATTAAAGTTTTGTGACTTTTTATCTTTTTTAGGCATTTATGGATCTTTACTGGGATTTCGGGAGAGGCTACATTAGGAATTTCTAGTCAGTTCTCCTGTACTATAGTCTACTCTTCCCTCATATTAATTACTCTGAGCAATCTTTCAGAAATATTTCCAAGGCAAAGTGATTTGAAAGGAATGAAGTCAATAAAAACCTTTCTTCTTCTCTGTCCAAAATGACATAATCAAATAATTTTCATGAGCTCTCTTTTATAACAGTGAAAATCTACAAGGCTTTGAATACTAGGCATCAAGGTATGAAATTACATTATTAAAGTTTTCCAATATTTTTCAACCTCTAAGAATACACTTAAATTAAAATGCCTACTTTTAATATACTGTGACTTGAAGAAAACTGTTGATACACATGAACTGTATAGTATATTTTTAAATTAAACATATGATTAAATTTAAAATAAAATGTGAATCACATTAGACTTGAAAAATGTTATTTTTATATCCTTTGCTGCAAAATTCTATTATATTCACAAATAATAACTAAATGCCTCAAATAAATAACTTAAATACTCCAATGAAAGAACTGATAAAAGAATAATTCATCTACATGTAGATTTAATGACATAAAATGACCATTCTTAAAATGGGTGTTGTATTTCATATAAATGACCGATACTCAAGTATGATAGCTAACAGAATTTTGGAGAGTAATTATGAAAGAAATAATCATGCTTATTTATGGTACGCATATATACATTATATGTAAAGAGCTTTGGTCTCCTGCTTCCTGATTATATGGTCTCACATTATCTGAGTTCAAATAACCCACAATTATCAGTATGTATCTCTGAATCTTGTTTCCTTCATGGTAAAATAGTAGTAATAATAATAACGACACCAAATTACCTGGGTTATGTTGAGTAATAAATGAGACAATGTAAATGCTCTTTAAATGGCAAATCCTCAAGCATATATACACTAAATTTTATCTGTGCGGTTACAGTGAATCATGTGATTAGTACCTGAATCAACAACATCATTTTTAACTATGAAGGACAGTCTATATAGATATAATTGTATATATATTTATTATGGACCATTGCAATTGTTGATAGTTCTTAAGCTGCTCAAATGGTGCCTAATGCCCAGTTAGTAAACCAAGTAAACTCAGTTTCTGACTTAAATGGACTGTGAATGAAGGTATAAAGAATGGTTTCACTTACACATTTAAATAATTGCAGGACTTCAGTTGGATGGGAAATACTTTGGCCTCATTAATAAGGACTGGTTCAGATTACATTATGAAAGAATTCCTGAAACACTAGTTTAATTTTGTTTTTTCCCAAGCACATATTACCATGGTCTGCTGAAGAGTAATCATGCTCTGGAAGGCTTAAACAAGAAGGCTAAAATACAGATAGGAAAGAGCAGGATTGGTGTTCCTTGAATTACTCCTGCCGCCTTTAGCCCTCTAATCTTTGAAGCTGTGAGCATTTAATCATCTATAGGCTCAGCTTTGCTGTAGACTGTGCAAACAATCTCTGCTGTGGTCGGGGATAATCAGCCACCCTGTTCCAGTCCATCAGTGGTTGAGCTCTTGGTCAGGAAGGCTGCTAGTTCTGCTTGGGACCGAGGTTCTCCATCCAGAATCTGGGAGATAGTAACTACTTCTTACCCCATCTCCATTCCAAATGCTTGCTCAACATCTTTCAGCCTGAACACTTGTGCCCATTGAGCATCTGCCAGCCTGTCCTTCTAGTGCCATAGTCTGCTGGATTAGAGCCACCTGGAGATATGAAAGAAAAGAGATTAAATCAGCAGACTGGGGGAAAGAGTTTTTCCACAGGTCTTCCTTTGTATATGTGAGTCATGGAAATGTTTCTGTATATGAATCTGTGCCTATGACTTTCTAAAAGAACCAGTGATAATACGACAAGTATTTTGTTTCAGTAGTACTTACGTCATCTGCTAATCACTGAAATGACAAATTGGTTTTTGTCTAATATCAGATTATTTTAGGTGCCGTGAAGCCTCAACAACAGGTGTTCTGTGTGTAGATATACATATGTGTGTTTGTGTGTTATTTATGGGTATTTATTTATTCATTCTTGTTGTATAATGGAAAGAATGTGAAAACTACAGTCAGCCTGCCTTAAATATAAATGTTGGCTTCATTGTTATTTAGCAGTTTTTCTTTGGGCCTCTCAGAGAATCAATCTTCTCACCTTTAAAATCAGTATAATGCTATCTGCCTTTGAGGGTAGTTGTGAAGATGAAAGGAAGTGATGTAAAGCTCCTGGCATAGTGATGAGCTCACAGAAAGTGGTCAATATATGCAAACTGTGGCCCATCTCTTCATGACAATAAAAATGATCAGTGCATGAACAGGGCCTAAGGAAGGATATGTAAGAAGACTCACGTCTTGTCACAAAGAAAGGAGTATACGCCAGTATTAATCAGAGGTTTCAAATATGGTCTGTGAATATACATGAAAAAATATGCAAAATTCAGTAAAGAAACCTATATTCCACACTATCGTCTTTCAAAAAAGAGAAGTTTTGGTGTTTGTAAAGGGTAAGGCATGGATTGGGGGTGGGGGATAGACTCAGTTATTTCTAGGAAAAGGCAAAACTTCTCTGACTATTTAAGCTGAGATGTGTTTAGGATATTTTTCAGAGTAACTAGTGTGACTTTTTTCAAAAAAGAAATCTTCATTGGCTTACATCTGTGTAATGTACCTAGAAGAGCAATCTTTTGCTCAGACTAAAACCTGGTAATCTTCTTGTGTTCTTTGGTGAAAATACTTGAAACATTTTTCTCTCTATCGTTGGACTCAGGGCTCTGCTGTTGTGTGCTACTAGAATAAAGGCCATGGGGCCAAGTCTCCCTGGTCTGCTCTTTTTCAATAAAAATAAACACAGGTCTGTGACTTGAGGCCCCAAACATGTCTGACCAGAATGTTTCACATCAGCTGCCAAAAAAGTTCTCCATGACTTGAAGTCAGCCGGTAAGGAGATCATGTCCAAACAATTACTCTCACTCTGTGAGAAAAGCAGAGACCGTAAAGACTTTTTGTCATGAAGGTGCTAGCCAAGTAACTAAAAGTGAGGACATTCCGATGTTGTCCCAGTGGAGAGGCAGCCAGGCCCCTCAGCAGCTTCAGGCATTGCTGGCCCGGACTGGAATACCAAGAACTGCCAGTGTCTGTTTATCAAAACCTTTCTTCAGAACATGTCTGTGCAAAGCAAATTGCATTAGATAATCCTCACAGCAACTCAGAGGGGTTGATAGATTAAGCCTTTAATATTTCACAAATAGAGGTAAATGATGTACCTAAGGTCACTTAAGCAATACAAACTCAGTTGAGTCTCAAAATGTGTTCTCGGCTTACATAGTTAATCACTCTCTGTGGGAAGAGTAAATACCTGTGGAAAGAAGTGAGGAGGAGGGAGATACAAAATATAAAGCTCTCCCCATATCTAACACAGTGGGTAAGAGGATACGTTGATGTTGATAAAGATTTTACATATTATTTAACAAGTATTTCTGGAGTTCATGCGATATTCAAGGAATTGGTCTTAGCACACGATAACACACCGTGCTGTCAGGATGCATACAGTTTAGTCAAAGGAAATAAGACATTTGTAATACAACTTAAAAATGGAGGACATGACATATGTTAAGAATAGGATGAATTGAGGACCCCACAGCCAAAATCTTCCTGGGACTCCCGAGAATGAGAGAGGGGTTTGAGTGAGCAGCAATATTGAAACTTCATTGGTGGAGTCCATATCTGAGTTAGACTTTCATTAATGCATGGACTGAATTCAAATCTTCAGCTTAAGAGAAAAACCAAAAGTATAAGAGCTGTATTATCAACAAAAAGGTAAAAAGAGAGCCATTCATTGGGTAATATGATTAGACAAGGAAGATAAAAATGATGGGCCGGGGCAGAGCTTTAAGAGGGTTGATTTGGAGGGACAGAAGTTGAAGAAGATACATGATACCAAACATAACCTGTGCCATATTTGGGAGTAATTATACAAATAATAGATGTAAAATTATGTATATATAATTATGCCTCTTATAATTATTTGATATAATATTTTAGTTTTATTGCAAAATTATTATTCTCAGTGTCTTTTTTCAAATAACTTCTTTTCATAATGTGTTGCTTTACTTGTGTATACCATACATGAATTCTCTTTCTATTTGACATGGAAAAATAATTTTTCAAAATGTAATCATGGAGTACAAAATAACATATTTAAAGCTTTAATTCATAGATTAAAATAATATTATATTCACATATAAATATATATACATAGGTGAAATTAATGATTTGGCCAAATTTGACATATTTAATAGTTTTTTACTTTGCAGATTCAGAGTATGTTGAATGGTTGAATTATTTATTGCAAGTTGATTCACACATCTGTGCAAAATTAATGCACAGAAATAACTTGAATTTAATTAGTCCACAGTGTAACCAGAAATATTGGAATGACCATTATATTATTTCCTCATAGGAAAGTTATCTTTTATTTTTCTTCTTTTTCTCTAAGTCATTTTACTTGTAGTAAGTTACTTATTACAGGACTGATGGGTAGGAACATATTTAGACAGGACATTTTCATAAGTAATTCTAATTTATGAGATATTTTCATATGAATATATTTTAAACTGATATAGTGGTGTCTATATAAATAGAAATAAAAAGAAATGCAGAATAATAGTCATTAGATAATTTGTGCTCCAAATCAAAATCACATACTCAAAGGTGACATTTAAGCTTTAAACATCTAGTAATTTTATTTCTTCAATTTAATTTTCATATGTGGATTTAAGACAGCAAAAAAGCTAAAATATCATCTAAATATTTTTATTTAAAAAAAAAGGGATTATCAAGCTCAAGGAGGGATCAAAGTAACTTGTTTTCTCAATGAAGTGTGCATTAGTTGGTACAATTTTCATCTTCTCCCTAATGAGAGTAATGGAAAAATGTGGTCCTGACAAATTATGCTAAATTCCCAATGACTTGGGATGCCCCCTGATTGGCTGAATATTTTTCAAAAAACTTTTCTATTTTTTTTATTATACTTTAAGTTCTGAGATACAAGTGCAGAACATGCAGGTTTGTTACACAGGTATACATATGCCATGGTGGTTTGCTGCACCCATCAACCCACCATATACATTAAGTATTTCTCCTAATGCCATCTTCCCTAGCCGCCCACCCCCCAGTAGGCCCCAGTGTGTGATGCTCCCCTCCCTGTGTCCATGTGTTCTCATTGTTCAACTGCCACTTATGCGTGAGAACATGTGGTGTTTGGTTTTCTGTTCCTGTGTTAGTTTGCTGAGAATGATGGTTTCCAGCTTCATTCATGGCCCTGCAAAGGATATGAACTCATCCTTTTTAATGGCTGCATAGTATTCCGTGGTGTATATGTGCCACATTTTCTTTATCCAGACTATCATTGATGGGAATTTGGGTTGGTTCCAAGTCTTTGCTATAGTGAACAGTGCTGCCATAAACATACATGTGCATGTGTCCTTACAGTCAAATGATTTATAATCCTTTGGGTATATACCCAGTAATAGAATTGCTGGGTCAAATGGTATTTCTGGTTCAAGATCCTTGAGCAATTGCCACACTGTCTTCCACAAAGGTTGAACTAATTTACACTCCCACCAACAATGTAAAAGCATTCCTATTTCTCCACATCCTCTCCAGCATCTGTTGTTTCCTGACATTTTAATGATCACCATTCTAATTGTTGTGTGATGGTATCTCATTGTGGTTTTGATTTGCATTTATCTAATGACCAGTGATGATGAACTTTTTTCATATGTTTGTTGGCTACATAAATGTCTTTTTTTGAGAAGTGCCTGCTCATATCTTTTGCCCACTTTTTGATGGGGTTGTTTTTTTTTTCTTGTAAATTTGTTTAAGTTCTTTGTAGATTCTGGATATTAGCCCTTTGTCAGATAGGTAGCTTGCAAAAATTTTCTCCCATTCTGTAGGTTGCCTCTTCACTCTGATGATAGTTTCTTTTGCTGTGCAGAAGCTCTTTAGTTTAATTAGATTCCATTTGTCAATTTTGGCTTTTGTTGCCATTGCTTTTGGTGTTTTACTCATGATCTTTGCCCATGCCTGTGTCCTGAAGTATTGGCTAGGTTTTCTTCTAGGGTTTTTATGGTTTTAGGTCTTACATTTAAGTCTTAAATCCATCTTGAGTTAATTCTGTGTATGGTGTAAAGAAGGGGTCCAGTTTCAGTTTTATGCGTATGGCTAGCCAGTTTCCCCAACACCAATTATTAAATAAGGAATCCTTTCCCCATTGCTTGTTGTCAGGTTTGTCAAAGATCAGATGGTTGTAGATGTGTGGCATTATTTCTGAGGGCTCTGTTCTGTTCCATTGATCTATATATCTGTTTTGGTACCAGTACCATGCTGTTTTGGTTACTGTAACATTGTAGTATAGTTTGAAGTCAGGTAGCATGATGCCTCCAGCTTTGTTCTTTTTGCTTAAGATTGTCTTGGCCATATGGGCTCTTTTTTGGTTCCATATGAAATTTAAAGTAGTTTTTTCTACTTCTGTGAAGAAAGTCATTGGTAGCTTGATGGGGATAGCATTAAATATACAAATTACTTTGGACAGTATGGCCATTTTCATGATACTGATTCTTCCTATCCATGAGCATGGAATGTTTTCCACTTGTTTGTGTTCTCTCTTATTTCCTTGAGCAGTGGTTTGTAGTTCTCTTTGAACAGGTCCTTCACATACCTTGTAAGTTGTATCCCTAGGTATTTTATTCTCTTTGTAGCAATTGTGAATGGGAGTTCACTTATGATTTGGCTCTCTGTTTGTCTATTATTGGTGTATAGGAATGCTTGTGATTTTTGCACATTGATTTTGTATCCTGAGACTTTACTGAAGTCGCTTATCAGCTTAAGGAGATTTTGGGCTGAGACGGCGGGGTTTTCTTTTTTTATTTTTGAGACAGAGTCTCACTCTGTCACCAGGCTGGAGTGCAGTGGCATGATCTCAGCTCACTGCAACCTCCGCCTTCCGGGTTCAAGCAATTCTCCTGTCTCAGCCTCCCCAGTAGCTGGAACTACAGGTGTGTGCCACCATGCTCAGCTAATTTTTGTATTTTTAGTAGAGACACGGTTTCACCATTTTGCCCAGGATGATCTCAATCTCTGGACCTCGTGATCCGCCCACCTTGGCTTCCCAAAGTGCTGGGATTACAGGCGTGAGCCACTGTGCCCGGCTGACAATGGGGTTTTCTAAATATACAATCATGTCATCTGCAAACAGAGATAATTTGACTTCCTCTCTTCGTATTTGGATACCCTTTATTTCTTTCTCTTGCCTGATTGCCCTGGCCAGAACTTCCAATACTATGTTGAATAGGAGTGGTGACAGAGGGCATCCTTGTCTTGTGCCGGTTTTCAAAGGGAATGCTTCCAGTTTTTGCCCATTCAGTATGATGTTGGCTGTGGGTATGTCATAAATAGCTCTTATTATTTTATAATATGTAATATAATTTATTATACATAATAGCTCTTATTATACATTCAATACCTAGTTTATTGAGAGTTTTTAGCCTGAAGGGGTGTCATAACCTGGGTTAAAATTTCCAATAATACATTATTTGTAAGATACAGGTTGGCATCACTAAAATCAGTTAATTTAATATTTATTGGTTTATTGAGATTTTGGTTAATGTATTCAGACATATAGACAGTGTGAGATTCATGGGTGGACTAAATAGGCTTCATGATTATGGCTTGTTCCTCTGGCCATAGACTGTTATGGCTGATCACTCAATTTGGGCCGATTTCATATTCTCTCTTAATTTAATACTGTCCTTTGGAATTGTCCAAACAATCCATACTTCCAGGCTTCTAGTTCACCACCCTCTTGTGTCTTTTCAGTCAATTGGGAAATGTATACACCTGGTCTGTTCCCACATTTGTTTTTATGCTAGAGAAATGGGGCCATTCATGGCAAATCAACGCTATGAAAATTATAGACTGTTATAAAAGTTTCTTTGCAAATAGCTGTTTAACACCACAAAGAAGTTAGGTTAAAATTGTTTCAAAGTCTAAAATTAGTTACATTTTAAGCTAACTGCATATGCTTTTATTGTCTCTGATCTAAAATATAATCCCAGGTGGTTGGGAAAAGCATGCAAATTACAGAAAGCTAATTTGCTCCAACAGCGATGCCTCCCATGCAGTTGGGAGGTCTATTAGAAATAGTGTATTCTCTGTTATTTGCATATTAATAGCACCTGCTGAAATACTTTGGGATTTACTCCCACTGCCAGTAGAGGGACAGAACTAAAATATATAAAATTTCTTTCATTTCACTATGTTAGGCTATGGAGCATGCAGCATGGACTAAGAATAATGAATTAATAGCAGGAACTAGTGTGTTCATATTGCATGTGATATCTGAATATATTTTTCTTCATGATAAACTATCACTTGTTTAAGAGACTGAATACAAGGTGACTTCAAACCTTCTGACAAAAAAAAAAAAAAAAAGTATCTCCCTCTCCTTGAGGAAAATGAAGCAAGCCCTTCAAAATGCACTGAATAAGAATAGAGTTCCTCATACTGCTCTCTGAGCAACTATAAATTTTAGCAAAGGAAAAACAGATACCCTTATTTTTAAAAAATGTGCAAAGACCCAGATTCTCAAGATAATCCAAACTGCCAAATGTTGTTCATTTGCAAGCAATTAAATAATGTATATCCAGTAGCAACTTAAAGATTTTCTTCAAAATAGACTGTTTTCTTTTGATCATGAATTTCCTTTTCTTCCAATTCAAAATGTAAAGAAGTCTTAGAGGTATCTAGGGTTTATGGCATTTTGAAAGAAAGACTACTTTCTTCTTTTCTTTAGAGAAGATAAAAATAATGGGATTTTTGTTTGTTTGCGATTTTTGTTTCTAACTCTCATTTTTAGAACATAGGACCACCAGAAAAATATGCTGTACTATAAAGATAGCCACCAAAACTAATCTAACCAAGCACACCCCACTTTCCAACTTCTATGTCTTTCCCCTGTTATTACATCTCAGTGGAATATCCTTCACTTCCTGTCCACTTGTTACAACTATAACTCAAGCCTAATCTTAAAATTTGGCTTGGAACAAATTACTGGATAATTTAGACAAAAGTGAAATACTAGGGGGGTGTTCACAGAAATGCATGACTGAAAGGATATGGAGATTTCCAAAGTGTGACATTAGGTCTCGCACATAGAACTAATTCCTTTATTTTGCATCCATGTAATAATAAGAATAAATGAATATTTACATGTGCCTGCACTGTTTTAAACTAAAGATAATAATATATTTAATCTTTACTGCAACGCTATGTGGTAGATATCATTATTATACTTTTTCTCTATTTACAAGTGAGGAAACAGAAGAACAGAGAGATTGTGTGCATAAAAAGTCACACAGTTACTAAAGGGGGCAGCAAGAATTCAAATCTAGAATGGCTAACTTCCTTCATTCTCTTTAACTTATCCAAATAGGACAGGTTCGCTTTACTAGTCAACACCTATTTGTTGTTGTTGTGATGTACAAATATTCTGGATATAGTATTTCCCATACTGTCATGGAGGCACTCTGTTTTAGAAACTTACTAGAATTATTTCTGTGACCTTCCCAGGCAATATGAATATCCAAGGAGAGTTTTTCTTCATATCGCTTTAGAACTAAACCTTGTGAGTGGTTAGTTACAGTGTACTTATACTCACTTTAAGCCATTCACCTGTGATTAGCACCAGCCCTAACGTAGGAAGAAGGGAGACTCAACACAGATAATGATGACAGCCTGACACTCCACTTGTTTGAAGATCACTCTTTAATCAAAATTTTCTCTCAGAAAAAAAGTCTCAAACTGGAAATCGACAAAGGCCTTTGATCTCCCCAAATCTCCGTTCTTGCTCTCAATTAATGTAATAGAATCTTTCACTCAGACACTGACTAGTCCTTAGTGTCACAATTTTGTTTTTAACAGTATTGGTGTTCTGGTTTCCAAGCTGAAAGCAGACAGAAGTAACACGGTAGCTGAGCTATGATGGGAAGATTAGCTGGGATAAATACTAGCAGCTGTTGTAATTAATGGCCACATTTCACTGTCTCTACCAACATGAGCTTATATTTGAGTCAGATGGGATGTTCTTTGTCAGTGTATAACCTACCATGAAGTCAGTCAGGGACTCAGGTTCCCTCTACCTTAAGTCTCCACCATCTTCTAAAGTACTAGTTTCTTCTGCTGGATTTTCTGTATACAACAGGCTTACAGGAAAAAGAGGGAGTGTGATGCATCTCCAGAAGGGCATAGGATTAGTAGAAGTCTAGAGGTGGCATTCCTCACATCAGCCCACATCCCATTCTGCAAGGTTCAGCCAGTGGCCTGCCCTAATTGCAAGGGGTGCTGGGAAATAGGTTCTAATTCTGTGAACAGGAAGAAAAGGAAACATGGTGCACATACCCTTCTCTGCCGATGGTACTTTTGAAGAGGTGCTGGTGATAACAAAAGACATAACTGCTGACCCTAAAGCAGGGGTCAATAAGATCATTCTCTAAAGGGCTCCACATGATCTCTGGATCTCTATGAAATATTCTTGCTGCTGCTGTAGCAACTCTTTAAAAATGTAAAAACTAGCTCAAGTGCCTTATAAAACTGGCTACTGGTCAGATATGGCCCAAGGGCTGCAGTTTTGACCCTTGCTCTCAGGAAGGCAGGTTGGTTTATGTTTCTTGTTAATACAGTGATGGATGTCAACTGTGCTCATAAGAATAACACAATTTCAAAGTTGAGATAGTCTTTGAGAATCCCCTAAAACATGTCTTATATCATGGGTGGGAAGACTAAGACCAAGTAAAGCACAGTCACCCAGTGAAACCAGTTTTATCTTTTTGCAAAGAAGATAAGTGTTAATATTGCAAGCTGATGCTTTGGGTCAAGAGTTTATTGAAGTGAAAGCTTTACAGAGGGAAAACAGATAATTTTCTGTACTCATTGGGGGGAATTAATAGTATTATAACCATGCATGTTATGCCAATCTCCCTAACTTGTGAATAATTGAGAGTTGACTGTACAATTCCTTAGCCATTTGGAGGGAAAAAAGACAAAGATTGGCACCACAAAAAAAGTATCAGTTGAACCAAAAATTAAAGGAAAAAAAAAAGGAAAATCCTAGAAATATTTGGCTTTCTTCAATAAGGTTGATAGACATGGAAGAAAATATAAAAAGCAAGTTCAGTGATTTGGGTAAATACAAATGAAACATCCACATTTGAAAAAGAAACACAATAAAATAAACTATTTGCAGCACATAAAATGAAGGGTTACTTTATGCAGCACATGAAATGGTCAAAGAAATTAAAGAAGAAAATATAAGCAAACATGTAAACTAAGTATATTAATCAACAATTCATCATGCATAAAAATGATATGTAATCAATGAAGATGTAAAGAAATATCCAGTTTCCCTAGTTTTCATAGAATCAAATGTTGATATAAACAGTCTCACAATTCAGCTGATTAGCATTAATGAAATGCCAAAGGCTCTTTCTTAGTCTGTTGCTAAACAAAAATACTGACAAACAACAGAAATTTATTTCTTGCAATTCTGGAGGCTGGGAAGTCCAAGATCAAGGTGCCAGTAAATTTGGTGCCTGATGAGGGCCAATTCTTCACAGATGGTTCCTTTTCTCTCACGTGGTAGAAGGGCCAAACAAGCTTCCTCACACCTTTTTTATCAGAGCTCTCATTCCATTCATGAGGGCTTCATCTCAGTGATCTAATCACCCCCTAAAGGTCTCACCTCTTAATATTATTGCATTGGTGATTAGGTCTCAACATGTGAATTGGGGGGTGGGGGGACATTAAGACGGTAGCATGCTATCACCCCAGTTGGGACTCAAGCAACTCACCACAACTTTTTCTTCACTTTGCACAGATTTCACATGCACTCCCTTCAGTAATAACCCCAAATCCCCTTTTCTTCAATCTTTAATTCCCACTCTTCTCCCAATGTATGTTTTTGCCTCCAATTTCATCACAGAAACTGTGGTTCAGTTTCTGTGATGAAATTGGAGGCAAAAACATACATTGGGAGAAGAGTAGGAACCTCATTCCTCAGTTTTTTTTCCTCCTCTCCAAACCACAGGGACTGGAGGTAGGACTGTATTTCTCCCTGTGCCCCTCTCTCTTCCTCAGGAGTCTCTCCTGCCCTGGCAGAGGAAGACTGCTGCTATAAGAATCATCTCTTTGCATCTACCAGTAGGATGTGGAAATTGATCTCTGGGATTTGATCATGTTCTTAGCACATACTTGACGGAAGGGACCTCTAGTAGCTTCTCTCTAGATGTAGCTAGCAACATCTTCTGGAGCAAGCTTTTTGCCTTCTGTTTCTCTTTAGCTGGATTGATAGACAGATGGACAGACAGATGGATGGATGGATAGATCGATCGATTGATCGATCAATAGATAGACACATACATTTCTGATTAAGGGGTTCAAACTTCATGGTGCGTATGCTCGACTAACCTATGAATTTATCAAGCCTGAAGACTGGTAGGAACTTCAGAGTTCATTTAGTGCAGTTCTTCTCAAATTTAGTATGCGTTAAAATCTTCTGGAGCTGGATAAATAAACTGTGGTACATCCAGACAGTGGAATATTATTCATGGCAAAAAAGAAATGACCTCTCAAACCATGAAAAGCCTTGGAGGAAACTTAAATGCATACTAACAAGTGAAAGAAGCCAGTCTGAAAAGTCTACGCTGTATGATTCTAACTACGTGACATTCTGAAAAGGCAAAATTATGGAAGGTAGTAAAAAGATCCATAGTTTTCAGGGGCTAGGGGAGAGGAAGGGAGAATAGGAGAGGGACAGAGCATCTTTCGTGCAGTAAAACTATTCTGTATGATACTACAATGGTGGATGCACATCATTATAAATTTATCCAAATCCATAGAAAATGGAATGTCAAGAGTGAACCCTAATATAAACTATGGACTTGGGGGATAATGTGTTTATGTAGGTTAATCAATTGGAACAAACATAACACTCTGGGGGGGATGTTGATAATAGCGGAGGCTATGCATGTGTAGGGGCAGGGAGTATATGGAAAATTTCCATACCTTCTGTTCAATTTTGCTGTGAACTTAAAACTGCTCTAAAAAATAAAATCTATTAAAAAATTATCTGGGGAACTTGTTAAAATTACAAGTTCCTGGAGCCTATCCCAGATATAGTAAATCAGAATCTCTGGGGATGAATCCCTTGAACCTTTTTTCAGAGCAAATTCCCTGTGTACTCCTGGGACAGGTGATTCTCAGACCTCTCTTTGAGCAATTCTGATCCAGACATTTGTATGTGACAGTGATGTCCACAGACATTTCTGGGATTTGCCAAGATAACTCAGCTAGCAAGGGTCAATGACAAGACCAAGTGTAAGGGTACTAGCTACTGATTCTCCCACAATACAGCCCTACTTCTTGGAATTATTTTCATCTCTCACCTTTGGCTTTTAAACTCTCAACTTTTGTGTGTGTGTTGGTTTTCCCTGTCCTGTGTATAATTCTGCCCCCTCTTAGAGTATTAGCAATTTTTAATGTGTAGAGGAAAGGTAACATTTCAGGGTTTTAAGGGTCTCCTATTTCTGGGGGCCACTAAGCATGTCTGCACTGGACCACCCCTACCAGCACATTCAAGAGCACCTAGAAAATGGGCCTCATTAGTGACAGATGTCTTGCCCAGAGAATGACTGTGCCTGGAGAATCAGGCTTTCCCAGGCTGGCACATTTCTATCAGGCATCCATAAGAAGCTGGTAATCTTTATTTATTGTCTGCAGTTCATGGCAGCCAGTATTTTACCACCTGCACATCTAAAAAAGAACGGGAAGAAAAGCACACCAATATTCTCAAAATGTTTATATTCAAGGAGTGTGTATTTCAGAGAGGGAGGTCGTGATGTGTGTATTTTTATTGTGTGTGAAAGTATCCTTAGTGGCGGTGCAGCTGGAAAAATAATGGAAGCACAGGGTACTGTCTTTTGTGACAAAGTTTCCTCTGGTAAGTTACAATTATAACGTAGAAAATGATACCTTAGATGGCAACTAATTTGTGAATCCTGGGAAATGCTGTTCAGTGATTCCTCATCAGGACAGCAGAACCTGATCTGTAAAAATTTGGGCCTCAGCAGGAGGCTGTTTGCAAAGAGTGATTTGCATTTCAATTGTAAGTCCAGCACAACCTTTAAATCTTGGCTGCCTCACTATCACAATGGAATTCTTTTTTTTTTTTTCTTTTCTTTTCTTTTTCCTTCATGGTGTACTTAAAAAAGAAAAAGGAATGTTACCATACATCAATTCCACAACCACATACAATAAGACAAAGGTGGCTCTAAAGAAAAAGCATGGTGATGATGGTTAGATTTTCTCCCAATGAGCAATTATATCAAATTTTTTCAATTGCAGGGGAAATATCATTCCCTGTAAAGGAGCTGCCCCACACCATTCCTTGTCCCACAAGCACCCACATCTCTTTCCTCTTTTTTCCTACAAAATTCCGAACAGGCAGTGTAGCTTCCCTGTGATTTTATTTCACTTGATGAAGAAAAAAGTAAAATGCATAAATCAAAGCAATAAACTCAAATTCATTATTTATTAGGATTGGTTTTCTTTCAGTTAAGTCATGGGTGGACTACTGAGGGTTCCTCTCAATCCCCCAGCTATGCCTTTGCATTTGACTCAGTAGTCCAATATGAGGTTCTTAATGTTTCTATTTCTTTAAATTGTTTGAATTAGCTCTCCTCTAAATTATGGGCTGTTTTAGCTCCCGTTGGTGACTCACCATAACAAAAAGGGATGGTTCTGCCCAAAATTCTGCGCCCCGTTACATACAAGAATGTGACATTCTCTTATCAGGAATAGGGGCTCACCAGGGAAGGGTGGGGTAGAAGTCATCCCTCTAAGGTGTATTTATTATTTTAGAAGTTTGTTTTATCTTTAAACTTTGTACAACATTATCATTTTCGAGCATTTAAACTATGTATGAGCTATAAATCCATCTCCCAGGCCCCACCTCTAGATTGCCAATGGCCTTAGATTGCCCAATCTGACAAGCTTTGGGTTCTCAGTGCACATCTGACTTCCTCAACTTCTCAGCTGATACCTCAGCTGATCACTCACCCTTTCTTAAATACTTTCATTTTCCACTTTTAGGACTAAGTCTCTATCTTTCCACGGACGCTTGAGCTCCTTATTTCTTTGCACACTCCTTCTCTGCTGATTTCTAAATGCATGAGTTGTGAGCCAGTCTTTAGACCTTTTGTCTTCGTATCTATGCCCCCTGCCTGAGCCCTCATATCCAGCCTGCTAGCTTTATGTATCCTCTGTACTCTCGTGGATCCCAAGCATCCATCTTCCAGATCTCCACCCTCTTTCCAGATCTCCAGTGGAATCACCCTCTAGTCCAAACCCCTCAACTTCCTCATGTATATGCTTCTTTTCTAGTTTTCTTCAGTACAGCAGTTGGTTTCACTATTTACCCAGTATCTGGTATCAGGGTGAGGGGAGGGTGAGAGTACGGAGAATACGTAAATTTCTCCTTTATTCCTCTCCCCTTTCATTATGTCCCACATCTAACTCAACGGTAGGTCCTGTTCCTCTGGAATAGCATCTATGCTGTCAAAGTCATGTACCTCCTCGCCCTGTCTCATTCTGCTTCTTACTGCTTGCGAAATACATCAAACTCAACCCTGCCTCAGGGCCTTTGCACTCACCTAGCACTTTTCCTGGAATTCTCTTCCTCTGGATGGCCATATTGTGTTCACAGGCTCTGTCCAAATGTGACCTTCAAAGAGAGGATTTCTAAGAATACCATACTTAACATAGTAGCAGTCCCTCCACTTGCCTGTCCCTTAACACTCTTACCCTGGTTTATTCTGCATTGCATGTATCACAAGCAGAAATTATATATTTACATATTTGTTTATTGTCCAGTTCACATGTGGAATGTCGTGCTTATGCTTATAAGTTTCTACTGTTTTGTACTAAGATCCTAGCATATGGTATAGCTTCTGACACAAAACAGGGGTTCAATAAATATTTATTCAATGTTAAATAAACTTTAGTATGATTTTAGTTTCTGACATCTCTTACCTCATAAGGTCTTTGGAATAACCTGAATTTCCTGCCAACTGATCATTAGAATTTTGCATTTGCAAGCTAATTTAAGACATTTTTAATAACATTTACCTTAAATCTTCGTAATAATTAATAGCAATTATTTAAACTTAAATCCAAAGTTTACTTGCTGCTTCTATTCTACACCATGAGTTCAATATTCTCACGTTTATATTTCAACTATTTTAGTTTTCTCTTTCAAATGGAGTAGCTGGTTTCATATTTGTTTTTGCAGAATATCACAATTTTTTAATTCAATTAAGATATAATTATTTTATTACAGATAATATTTAATATATAGCACCTGGAACAAACAAACTGAATTCTGAGTTACATCCTTTGCAGAAGTGCTGATGCCCTCAGAAACCACTGACGTTATAGGGTTGTCTGCTCTATGCTGTGGGCTCCCCACCTCTCCCCAGTTCTAGCTGTATGTTTTCAGCATTTCTGTCTCCTCCCTTGTTATCCAGCTCTCTGTCATGTCCCCCATACTTCTCATTTGCTGCTGCTAAAGTACTGAGTGGGAGCTAGGCAACTATAAACAACGTTTATTAAATTTGTGCCCAGAGTAAAAGTTAACAAGCTAAGATTGAGACTCTGGTCAAATTTGAGTGAAGAAACTTTAGGTTTCTTACCTTTGTTTTGCTTACTCGCTATTTCTTGATTATCTTCTGGACGTCTGGGCGACAGTGCATAAGCAAGGTATTTTTGTGTACATATTTACTAGTACAGGTGCATCCTCTGTAATTAGAACGCTGAATTGTTATGAGCCTAAATTTGTATTCCTGGGCACCCTGAGGAAGACAGCTGTCCATCTGCCCTTGCTCCCAGGTGTTCAGTCTCACTGGCTCATGATTGAACCTTGCTCGCTGCTCAGAAGACACAAAGCAGGCTCTTAAAGAAAAAAAAAATGCCTCTCTTTTTTTTCACATGTAGTAATGTGAGACATATAATGTTAGAAAAAGATTTCAATTAACATCTTCTGTCTAGAAGACAGACATTAAAATCTCTTTCCATATCTTCCCACAAAAGAAAAATGCCACCCACAATAAGACCACATATCTTCAGCTGCAGCCGGTGAGAGCAGGAGAGTCCACATCTCCGTGAGGGCAGTGCCCTGATTCTTGGGTGTCACAGTTTCCACTTGAGCCTCTACTCAAGTGGAAAAGCCCTCAGGGCACCGATCTTGTCCCTCTTCTGATAAATTCTACTTATTATACTGTGCTGTGTACACTCTCAGAGCTAGATAAATGAAGAGTAATAATAACTGTTATTTTTCCACCAAGTGTTATCAAATCAGAAATCTGACACCTAGTAATTTAATATATATGTTTTTTCCACATACCTTTATTGCTGTTTGGCTAGATAGAAAAATATGAGGAAATTGGAAACCAACTGTAAATACTTCCACAGCCTTAATGGCAAAGGCTTTTTCTTTTCTTTATTACCTTGCTCCACTTATCCCATCCTCTATTTTTCAGAGCTATATTCCCTCTCTCTCGCTCCTTTCAATGTTCCCTCACCCAGGAAGCCTCTCCCAATTCATGACCCATTTCCACATGCTTCCCTCACTCCACATTCCCTCAGTGGTTACCCTGCTTTGTAGGGATATTAGTGCAGCCTCTTTAATGTTGTTTATTGTTGAACTGGTCCAGAGGATAGAACCCAGCTGACCCGGGTTTGAATCAACTCTGCCTCTTAAAACCAGTAAGGCTAGGCAAATTGCTTAAGATCTATCAGCCTGGTTTTCTTATCTGTAAAGTAAAAATGACAATAATACCCACCTCATTGTGCACATATTGAGAAGAGTAAATTGTATGGTGAAAACATTCTTGTTCTTAAATATATTTCCCATTCCTTTGTCTCTATAATTGGTAATAAAGATTTTTTGGAGTGTACATGTTGTCCTGACACAATTAAGATCTGAAGTTTCTGAGGGCAGAATGTATCATGAATTTCAAATTGCAAAACAACAAACGTGTACAAGAATCTCCTAAGTGTACGGCACTATCATAGACCTGGAAGGCACAGGTGGTTGTTGAGGGGAGGGAGGAGTGAGGAAGGAAAAAAAAAGAAAGAAAAGGAAACAAGATAAAATACAACCATTTGCACTCTGAAAGCTTCTTGTGTACCTGAGTTATAAACAATGCACAAAGTCAAATGATAGCACACATAATTTAAATAATCAAAATAACAACAGAAGCAATGACTAAAAAAAGGGAGGTGCTTCCCATTAAATTGCTCAGAAAGTAATTGTAATCAGAGGGCAGAAGACAACCAGGACCCCTCAGCCAGAGGTGGTCAGGACAGGTTTTTAGCAGGTGGCAAGGTCACTGGGAAGTCTTTGCAGTAGATTTGGTAGACAATGGGCAGAAGGGGCAGCCATTCATGATGCATTGATTTATGATTGACATAGTACAGAATCTAAAAACATTCCAAAGTAAATATAATCAAATGCAAGTTGAGAAAAAAGTCCCCTGGGATTTCAGGAATCAGTTTTGACATTTTGGACAGTGCCTCACTTCCCTTTCACTTATTTCATGCAAAATTCTCAGCCCACATATTCTAGCATTTCTGTCCGTATCTTCCATCAGGTCCAAATCATAGGCTCATGGAGAGGACTTGCAATTAATAGTACCCAGTAAGTGCTGATACTTCACTTGTCTGAAGTGCCAACTCAGATCGACTGAGTAGCAATCCAATGGTCGATCGCTCAGCAATCGATTTGAGTGACTAAAATACTGTCAATTATTTCCTGCATATAAATAGTCTTACAAAAATGCATGCAGTGCCCCACAAACGTCTAGTTCCAGGCCTGAGATCCGGGAGTTATAAACGAAGGAATACATCATAACATAGTGGGCTATTCTTGCCAGTTCTTTCATCAAGTGAGAGTTTTTGATTCCAGCAGCCAGACTAACTGCTTTGTAGCTACTTTATTTTTGAAGACAGGCAGTCAGGACTCTGTGCTTTGGCTACTTGGGATAATAAATAAAGCACACAGATAAATGTGTTTATTTGGACATGTAATTTAGTTTCTATATAACTTTATTTTTTTTTAATGACACACATGCTGATTCCTAGTCATCAGCCCTAGGCGCCAGTAAAATCAGATTAAAAGCATTAGTAACGTAGTCAATTCCATTTATAATATGCCTACACTAGAGGTGCAAACATTAAAATAAGGAAAATCTATAAACTGGAATTAAAGATATTTTCTGGAACTCCTCTTAAGAAATCTTTGAAAGAAAGACATAAGATTTTACATAAATACTCTCAAGGAGCCCTTTATTTGCCATGCGATATTTGTAATTCCAATTAAAATTTGCCTTGGTCACTTGAGTCTTCATCTTTTGTACTTCAGGTTGATTCAGATGGCTTTGTATTAAGGAATGGGCATCATTTAGTGATGCTCTGCTAGTTGTAATATTGCCTTCTATAATCTTGCCTAATAATCACTATCAGCAAATCAATTTTTCCTTTTTATTCACATTCTATTATCCACTCCCTTTTGACCTATAGTTCTTGGGACAGCCCATGTATTATTTTTTTTCTGAAATCCTCAGCATATTACATGCAGCATAATGGGATAAAAGCCCTAGCATTAAATCCAATCAATAGCTCCCACAGGTAGATATCTATTTCATCCCCCTCTTTAATGTGCTGTCCTTTGTACATGAAGATGTCGCTATCGACCTACAATTCATCTGGCATCTGGTGTGGGTTCTGGACTTTGTCCACTGGTAGGGGTGTATTTAGACTAAGTCATCCTCATTCCTTCCCCAGCTTACCTCTCCGTACTCACTGTCCCATTTGACAAACAGGTAGGCTAGGGCCATAGAATGACATAAAGCCACCTGACCATGAATCAAAACTATAACAATCATTTTACTTGCTTCCTCTCAGCCACAAAGCTATTAAAGTAAATTATGCATTTTAACTCATCCCATTTTCTTGTCTTCTACTACCTGGTAATTCACTAATATCAACAACGAAAGCCCTTCAAAGAAGAGTATGCTACTTCATTTATTTTTCATTAGTTAAAATTTTTTAAATAAAATTATAAAAGTAAATATGAATACACAAAACATGTTTGTAATTAAAAAATTTCAAATACACAGAAATTCATAAGGTGGAAGTCCCCTTGCTATCTTTCTTAGTCCAATCCTCTATTCCATAGGTTTCTGAAAGCATTTACATATGCAGTTACACACATCTGTATAGAGGTGTGTATGTAAACTATATATATCCAAATGTATCTTAATATGAAAAATTAATAAAACGTATATTGTTTGAATAATTTATTTAATATTTCCTGAAGATTTTTTATTTTAGAATACATAGAGATACTGTCTTAATTTAACAGTTGCATATGTTTCGTGATAAGGGTTAACCACAATTAATTCAATCATACACTTCGGGCATAACAAATTATATTAAAAGTTAGTGGCCTCAAATAATGAGAATTCTTTATTAGCTCATAGTTCCTGCTGGTCAGAGATCTTGAAGCAGCATAGCTGGCTGGTTGAGGATTGGAATCTCTCATTAGGGTACAGTCAAGATGTTACAGTCATTCAAAGACTGGACTAGGGCTGGAGGACCTAAGGTGGCTCAGTAACATGGTTGGTAGTTTGATGCAAGATGTTAGTGGGAGACCTCAGTTCTTCTTAGCATAGGCCTCTCCATAGCGCCTCAGTTCTTCCAACATGGGCTGCTTGAGTGTCCTCATGACATGGCAGCTGGCTTCCCTAACATGAGCAATCCAAGAAAGCAAGAGCCAGGTAGAAGTTATCCTTTCTGTGACCTAGCCTTGGAAGTCACCCAGCGTCACTACCGTCACATTTTCTCGGTTAAAGCAAGTCACAAACTTTGTCCAACATTCAAGGGGAGGGGAATTAATAGGGTATCTATAGTTAACATGACTCTATTGCACCCTTCAAAATAGCTAGAAGAGAATAATTCAAAGGAACTTATCATAAGGAAAACATACATATTTAAGGTGATGGTTATCCCAATTACCCTGATTTGACTATATGAATGTATCAGATTATCCTATGTACCCTGGAAATATGCACATCTGTTATATATCAATAAAAAAAGTCTGGTCAACATTCAAGGGGAAGTGAATTATACTTCACCTTTTAAATGAAGGAGTGTAAAATAATTTGCCGAAATGTTTTAAAACCACCACCACAAAAAAATTAACAAGTAAGTAAACAAATAAGTAAATGACATGAAGTATTTCTAAGATATATTACTAGAAATGGAATTGGTGAATAACTGCCTATGCATATTTCAAAAGTTGAAAGGCATTGCCATATTGTCCTTCAAAAAGTCTGTTAAAACTCCACAAAGACCTTAGATATTGCTTGTTTTTCTACACTCTCATGAACATTTGACATTAGCAGGCTTATTTTTATATTTTTGCCAGTCTAATAGGGTAAAAACAATACACTTTATAAAATTTACATTTTACCTGGTTACTGGTGAATTTAGCATCTTATGTTTATTGCCCATTTATATTCTTTAATACATTTCTTGTTAATATCCTTTGTTGTTTTAATTCTAGTTACTTCTGAATACATGTTTAAGAGTTCTGTATTTACTATGGATACTAACTTGTTGTCTGTTATGAATGCTGCAAATATTCCCTCCTAGTATGCTATTTTTATTATATCTTTCTCTTTTAACTTTTTAATGTTGTTTTGTGCTCTATAGAAGTTTAATTGTTTTTCTAATCTGGCAAGGTATATATATGTGTGTGTGTGTGTGCACATGCACGCACACATGCACGCATGTTGGTGGGGGTGTATAGGCTTTGTTTTAATAACTTAAAATTATTTTTGAAATTCTCCAAATATCTTTTCTTGTACTTCCATACTATGAGTTTTATGTTTTATGTGAAATTTTCTCACATATAGTATGAAGTAAGAAACTAACTTTAGTTTTGTTTCAAATGCATTTTTAATGATGGTTTTAAAACTACTTATAGCCATAGAAATCTTTGTTTACACAAAACCATAAAATAAATTTGCCTTTCCCCCAAATAAAACTGCAGCTCTTTGGGTTGGAGTTCTGTCTCTTTGTTTCCCTTACCTCCCACGCTTTGTCATTTCTGTGGGGGTGGAGAGGAAGAAGGGGAGAGCTCTATTGAATACTTAGTGTTCCATATAACACAGTTTGAAAACCATTGTTGTTCCAAAATATCTAAAATTTTAAAACAAATGTCACTAGTTAGTTAGAAGCAGGTGTTAATCCAGAGACTGGATGTATTAGTCCATTCTCACACTGCCATAAGGACATACCCAAGACTGGGTAATTTATAAAGGGAAGAGGTTTAATTGACTCACAGTTCCACATGACTGGGGAGGCCTCAGGAAACTTACAATTGTGGAGGAAGGGGAATCAAACATGTCCCTCTTCACATGATGGCAGGAGAGAGAATTACTGAGCAAAAGGGAAAAAGCCCCTTATAAAACCATGAGATCTTGTGTGAACTCACTCACTATCACAAGAACAGCACGGAAGTAATCACCTTCATGATTCAATTATCTCCTACCAGGTTCCTCTCACGACATATGGGGATTATGGGAACTACAATTCAAGGTGAGATTGGGGTGGGACACAGCCAAATCCTACCACTGGGAAATATTTAAAAGTGAACTAAATGGCATTTTGTTAATTTATGCCTTTACATTGATATTGATGTTTGGGTACTTCCATGGTTTGGCTTAATGTTTAAAAAAATTAAATTGGGACAGCATAAGGCAACTACTTGTATTCTGAAAATAGGGGGACATACATGACAACAATGAAATTCAACTGTTTTTCTAATAAAACCATATGGATTTAGGAACCAGGCAAAGCCTTCTACTGCTTAAGAAACAATTAGTACATTCTAGACATCCACCTACCCAGTGTACAAATGAGTCATGATCTCAGACAATAAGCACATAGATTCAGATGCCACAGCACCCACACTGTGCATATATCATTTACATCCCAAAATATATACACTGCAGACACATATGGACACACACAGAGTAAATCACAATGCTTTCCATCCTGTGAGTCTTTCTCTTCAGTCTGTGATGGATCTCATTATTAATTAAAGAATCATTTAGCTTGCATAATTGTCTTCTGCCATACATAATTCCAACCTTTCAATGTCTCATCAAGTTGGCTTATTAGACTAAATGCACTCCTTTGTTTTGGTGACATCATCAATCACGGCCTTTAGACGGACGGACCCAGCAGTGGGGTGAATAATATTTACAGAGGCCCTCTCTTTGTTCCCATCATGGAACTTACCAACAGGTAACTTCATTTGTAAGTTTATTTGCTTCTTTAAAACTAAGAAGCCTATGTTCCCACAATCTGCCACTGAGAAGGTCAGGCTTCCAATGGAAAGAAACTAGCCGTTTGTTGTTTAAGTATCTGCTGTGATATATGAACATTTTTGGACTTTGGAACAAATTGATAACAAAATATAAGAATGTCTGAAACAGGCACAACTGGCCTTTTACAGCCAGGCATGCTCCATTTATATTGACATTTTCATCTTTATTTTTTGTAAACTTTAAAATAAAATGCAGACTAGCAAAGAATGTTTCTCCATGTACAGTCAGTCAGACAGATTAAATCTTCTGAGGCAGCTAAGGCACTGTAATAAACACACCGAGATTTGGATTCTTTTTTTCAGAAGGATAGCAGAGGTATCATATGAAATGGCCATGGTTAAAGGACTATTTAGACACCATCTCTAAGCTGATTTGAGAACATCAGAAGATGCCACATAGAGTCAGATCTGTGATTCCATTCAACCCATTGGCTTAAAGGGATAGTGATGGGTGTAAAGCACAGTATTGTGAGTAAATGATTGGTTCTCAGGCATTAACGTCAAAGTAATGTTAGAAAATGCTCTCCCAAACATCCATAGCATCCCTTCACTGAAGTCAACAACTTTATCAATGTCTTTTTTTTTTAAATTTTATTATTATTATACTTTAAGTTTTAGGGCACACGTGCACAACGTGCAGGTTTGTTACATATGTATACATGTGCCATGTTGGTGTGGTGCACCCATTAACTCGTCATTTAGCATTAGGTATATCTCCTAATGCTATCCCTCCCCACTCCCCCCACCCCACAACTGTCCCCGGTGTGTGATGTTCCCCTTCCTGTGTCCATGTGTTCTCATTGTTCAATTCCCACCTATGAGTGAGAACATGCGGTGTTTGGTTTTTTGTCCCTGCGATAGTTTGCTGAGAATGATGGTTCCCAGCTTCATCCATGTCCCTGCAAAGGACATGAACTCATCCTTTTTTATGGCTGCATAGTATTCCATGGTGTATATGTGCCACATTTTCTTAATCCAGTCTATCATTGTTGGACATTTGGGTTGGTTCCAAGTGAATAGTGCTGCAATAAACATACGTGTGCATGTGTCTTTATAGCAGCATGATTTGTAATCCTTTCGGTATATACCCAGTAATGGGATGGCTGGGTCAAATGGTATTTCCAGTTCTAGATCCCTGAGGAATCGCCACACTGAGTTCCACAAGGGTTGAACTAGTTTACAGTCCCACCAACAATGTAAAAGTGTTCCTATTTCTCCACATCCTCTCCAGCACCTGTTGGTTCCTGACTTTTTAATGATCGCCATTCTAACTGGTGTGAGATGGTATCTCATTGTGGTTTTGATTTGCACTTCTCTGATGGCCAGTGATGGTGAGCATTTTTTCATGTGTTTTTTGGCTGCATAAATGTCTTCTTCTGAGAAGTGTCTGTTCCTATCCTTTGCCCACTTTTTGATGGGGTTGTTTGTTTTTTTCTTGTAAATTTGTTTGAGTTCATTGTAGATTCTGGATATTTGCCCTTTGTCAGATGAGTAGGTTGCAAAAATTTTCTCCCATTCTGTAGGTTGCCTGTTCACTCTGATGGTAGATTCTTTTGCTGTGCAGAAACTCTTTAGTTTAATTAGATCCCATTTGTCAATTTTGGCTTTTGTTGCCATTGCTTTTGGTGTTTTAGACATGAAGTCCTTGCCCATGCCTATGACCTGAATGGTATTGCCTAGGTTTTCTTCTAAGGTTTTTATGGTTTTAGGTCTAACATGTAAGTCTTTAATCCATCTTGAATTAATTTTTGTATAAGGTGTAAGGAAGGGATTCAGTTTCAGCTTTCTACATATGGCTAGCCAGTTTTCCCAGCACCATTTATTAAATAGGGAATCCTTTCCCCATTGCTTGTTTTTGTCAGGTTTGTCAAAGATCAGATAGTTGTAGATATGCGGCATTATTTCTGAGGGCCCTGTTCTGTTCCATTGGTCTACAGCTCTGTGTTGGTACCAGTACCATGTTGTTTTGGTTACTGTGGCCTTGTAGTATAGTTTGAAGTCAGGTAGCGTGATGCCTCCAGCTTTGTTCTTTTGGCTTAGGATTGACTTGGCTATGCAGGCTCTTTTTTGGTTCCATATGAACTTTAAAGTAGTTTTTTCCAATTCTGTGAAGAAAGTCATTGGTAGCTTGATGGGGATGGCATTGAATCTATAAATTACCTTGGGCAGTATGGCCATTTTCATGATATTGATTCTTCCTACCCATGAGCATGGAACGTTCTTGCATTTGTTTGTATCCTCTTTTATTTCACTGAGCAGTGGTTTGTAGTTCTCCTTGAAGAGGTCCTTCACATCCCTTGTAAGTTGGATTCCTAGGTATTTTATTCTCTTTGAAGCAGTTGTGAACGGGAGTTCACTCATGATTTGGCTCTCTGTTTGGCTGTTATTGGTGTATAAGAATGCTTGTGATTTCTGTACATTGATTTTGTATCCTGAGACTTTTCTGAAGTTGCTTATCAGCTTAAGGCGATTTTGGGCTGAGACAATGGGGTTTTCTAGATATACAATCATGTCATCTGCAAACAGGGACAATTTGACTTCCTCTTTTCCTAATTGAATATCCTTTATTTCCTTCTCCTGACTAATTGCCCTGGCCAGAACTTCCAACACCATGTTGAATAGGAGTGGTGAGAGAGGGCATCCCTGTCTTGTGCCAGTTTTCAAAGGGAATGCTTCCAGTTTTTGCCCATTCAGTATGATATTGGCTGTGGGTTTGTCATAGATAGCTCTTATTGTTTTGAGATACGTCCCATCAATACCTAATTTATTGAGAGTTTTTAGCATGAAGCGTTGTTGAATTTTGTCAAAGGCCTTTTCTGCATCTATTGAGATAATCATGCGGTTTTTGTCTTTGGTTCTGTTTATATGCTGGATTACATTTATTGATTTGCGTATGTTGAACCAGCGTTGCATCCCAGGGATGAAGCCCACTTGATCATGGTGGATAAGCTTTTTGATGTGCTGCTGGATTTGCTTTGCCAGTATTTTATTGAGGATTTTTACATCAATGTTCATCAGGGATATTGGTCTAAAATTCTCTTTTTTTGTTGTGTCTTTGCCAGGCTTTGGTATCAGGATGATGCTGGCCTCATAAAATGACTTAGGGAGGATTCCCCCTTTTTCTGTTGATTGGAATAGTTTCAGAAGGAATGGTACCTGCTTGTACCTCTGGTAGAATTCGGCTGTGAATCCATCTGGTCCTGGACATTTTTTGGTTGGTAATCTATTGATTATTGCCTCAATTTCAGAGCCTGTTATTGGTCTATTCCGAGGTTCAACTTCTTCCTGGTTTAGTCTTGGGATGGTATATGTGTTGAGGAGTTTATCCATTTCTTCTAGATTTTCTAGTTTATTTGCATAGAGGTGTTTATAGTATTCTCTGATGGCAGTTTGTATGTCTGTGGGATTGGTGGTGATATCCCCTTTGTCATTTTTTATTGCGTCTATTTGATTCTTCTCTGTTTTCTTCTTTATTAGTCTTGCTAGTGGTCTATGAATTTTGTTGATCTCTTACAAAAACCAGCTCCTGGATTCATTAATTTTTTGAAGGGTTTTTTGTGTCTCTATTTCCTTCAGTTCTGCTCTGATCTTAGTTATTTCTTGCCTTCTGCTAGCTTTTGAATGTGTTTGCTCTTGCTTTGCTAGTTCTTTTAATTGTGATGTTAGGGTGTCAATTTTAGATCTTTCCTGTTTTCTCCCGTGGGCATTTAGTGCTATAAATTTCCCTCTACACACTGCTTTCAATGTGTCCCAGAGATTCTGGTATGTTGTGTCTTTGTTCTCATTGGTTTCAAACAACATCTTTATTTCTGCCTTCATTTCGTTATGTACCCAGTAGTCATTCAGGAGCAGGTTGTTCAGTTTCCATATAGTTGAGCAGTTTTGAGGGAGTTTCTTAATCCTGAGTTCTAGTTTGATTGCACTGTGGTCTGAGAGACAGTTTGTTATAATTTCTTTTCTTTTACATTTGCTGAGGAGTGCTTTACTTCCCACTATGTGGTCAATTTTGGAATAGGTGTGGTGTGGTGCCGAAAAGAATGTATTTTCTGTTGATTTGGGGTGGAGAGTTCTGTAGATGTCTATTAGGTCTGCTTGGTGCAGAGCTGAGTTCAATTCCTGGATATCCTTGTTAACTTTCTGTCTCATTGATCTGTCTAATGTTGACAGTGGGGTGTTAAAGTCTCCCGTTATTATTGTGTTGGAGTCTAAGTCTCTTTGTAGGTCTCTAAGGACTTGCTTTGTGAATCTGGGTGCTCCTGTATTGGGTGCATATATATTTAGGATAGTTAGCTCTTCTTGTTGAATTGATCCCTTTACCATTATGTAATGGCCTTCTTTGTCTCTTTTGATCTTTGTTGGTTTAAATTCTGTTTTATCTGAGACTAGGATTGCAACCCCTGCCTTTTTCTGTTTTCCATTTGCTTGGTAAATCTTCCTCCATCCCTTTATTTTGAGCCTATGTGTGTCTCTGCATGTGAGATGGGTTTCCTGAATACAGCACACTGATGGGTCTTGACTCTTTATCCAGTTTACCAGTCTGTGTCTTTTAATTGGAGAATTTAGCCCATTTACATTCAAAGTTAATATCGTTATGTGTGAATTTGATCCTGTCATTATGATGTCAGCTGGCCATTTTGCTCAGTAGTTGATGCAGTTTCTTCCTAGCCTCGATGGTCTTTACAATTTGGCATGTTTTTGCAGTGTCTGGTACCGGTTGTTCCTTTCCATGGTTCGTGCTTCCTTCAGGAGCTCTTTTAGGGTAGGCCTGGTGGTGACAAAATCTCTCAGCATTTGCTTGTCTGTAAAGGATTTTATTTCTCCTTAACTTATGAAGCTTAGTTTGGCTGGATATGAAATCCTGGGTTGAAAATTCTTTTCTTTAAGAATGTTGAATATTGGCCCTCACTGTCTTCTGGCTTGTAGAGTTTCTGCCAAGAGATCAGCTGTTAGTCTGACAGGCTTCCCTTTGTGGGTAACCCGACCCTTCTCTCTGGCTACCCTTAACATTTTTTCCTTCATTTCAACTTTGGTGAATCTGACAATTATGTGTCTTGGGGTTGCTCTTCTCAAGGAGTATCTTTGTGGCGTTCTCTGTATTTCCTGAATTTGAATGTTGGCCTGCCTTGCTAGATTGGGGAAGTTCTCCTGGATAATATCCTGCAGAGTGTTTTCCAACTTGGTTCCATTCTCCCCGTCACTTTCAGGTACACCAATCAGACGTAGATTTGGTCTTTTCATATAGTCCCATATTTCTTGGAGGCTTTGTTCGTTTCTTTTTATTCTTTTTTCTCTAAACTTCTCTTCTTGCTTTATTTCATTCATTTCATCTTCCATCACTGATACCCTTTCTTCCAGTTGATTGCATTGGCTACTGAGGCTTGTGCGTTCATCACATAGTTCTCGTGCCTTGGTTTTCAGCTCCATCAGGTCCTTTAAGGACTTCTTTGCATTGGTTATTCTAGTTATCCATTCATCTAATTTTTTTCCAAAGTTTTTAACTTCTTTGCCATTGTTTTGAACTTCCTCCTGTAGCTCGGAGTAGTCTGATCTTCTGAAGCCTTCTTCTCTCAACTCGTCAAAGTCATTCTCTGTCCAGCTTTGTTCTGTTGCTGGTGAGGAGCTGCTTTCCTTTAGAGTAGGAGATGTGCTCTGATTTTTAGAGTTTCCAGTTTTTCTGCTCTGTTTTTTCCCCATCTTTGTGGTTTTATCTACCTTTGGTCTTTGATGATGGTGACATACAGATGGGTTTTTGATGTGGATGTCCTTCCTGTTTGTTAGTTTTCGTTCTAACAGACAGGACCCTCAGCTGCAGGTCTGTTGGAGTTTGCTACAGGTCCACTCCAGATCTTCTTTGCCTGGGTGTCAGCAGCGGTGGCTGCAGAACAGCGGATATTGGTGAACCGCAAATGCTGCTGCCTGATCGTTCCTCTGGAAGTTTTGTCTCAGAGGAGTACTCAGCCCTGTGAGGTGTCAGTCCGCCCCTACTGGGGGATGCCTCCCAGTTAGGCTACTTGGGGTTCAGGGACCCACTTGAGGAGGCAGTCTGCCTGTTCTCGGATCTCAAGCTGTGTGCTGGGAGAACCACTACTGTCTTCAAAGCTGTCAGACAGGGACATTTAAGTCTGCAGAGGTTACTGCTGTCTTTTTGTTTGTCTGTGCCCTGCCCCCAGAGGTGGAGCCTACAGAGGCAGGCAGGCCTCCTTGAGCTGTGGTGGGCTCCACCCAGTTTGAACTTCCGGGCCACTGTGTTTACCTAATCAAGTCTCGGCAATGGTGGGCGCCCCTCCCCCAGCCTCACTGCTGCCTTGCAGTTTGATCTCAGACTGCTGTGCTAGCAATGAGCGAGACTCCATGGGTGTAGGACCCTCTGAGCCATATGCGGGATATAATCTCCTGGTGTGCCGTTTTTTAAGCCCATTGGGAAAGCGCAGTATTAGGGTGGGAGTGACCCGATTTTCCAGGTGCCATCTGTCACCCCTTTCTTTGACTAGGGAAGGGAATTCCCTGACCCCGTGCACTTCTCGGGTGAGGTGATGCCTTGCCCTGCTTCGGCTTGCACACTGTGTGCTGCACCCACTCTCCTGCACCCACTGTCTTGCACACCCCAGTGAGATGAACCCGGTACCTCAGTTGGAAATGCAGAAATCACCCGTCTTCTGCGTCACTCACACTGGGAGCTGTAGACCGGAGCTGTTCCTATTCGGCCATCTTGGCTCCTTCCCATCTATGTCTTCTTCATAAAGAACGTGATTTATGACTCCTTGGCCTCTATAAATTTCTTATGTATCATGTAGTTATACCTTTCTCAAAATTCAAGGAGAGTTTTTTGTTTGAATGTTCTGAGATTTGTGAATAAGCAAATGTAATGTATGCTAATGTGCCACATTCTCTTTAAGAAGAATACCATATAATATGTTCTTTCTGGGTAATTTCTGAATGTTGTTTCATATCGAGTGGGTTCTGGCTGCAGTGTTAGCATGTTCAAGGAATTTGGATTGGTAACTTTTGTGGAATCATTTGTATAGTCATATTATTTAATAGGAAATATATTAGAGTTCTACAGTCAATATTTTACAGGCAACTTGAGAAAGACATTTTCTAGTAAAATTTAGTAAAGTTAATAAGCTGTTTTTATTAGTTTTATTGAGTTTTAAATAGGTAAGACATACGCATTGCTCAAAACTTACAAGGTAGAAAATGGCATTGAGTGAAAAGTAAGTTTCCATCTCTCTTTTGACCACCCAACCACCCACTATTCCATCTAGGGCAAACATTTTGCCAATTTCTTGACTATCATTTTGGATATAGCCTTCAAGAAATGTTCTATACATTTACCTGCAGTCGATATGTGTGTGTGTGTGTGTGTTTACACAAATGTTTATAAGATATAAATACATTTCTGTAACTTAATTTTATTACCTAATGTATTTTGGAATCTTTCCATATTCATGCATGTGGAGACAAGCTATTTTTCTTAATAGCTATAGATTCTTTCATTGTACAGACATATTGTAAGTGCTTTTTAAAAATTATATTACCAGATAACCCTTCCTTTCATAGATAGTTTGGAAATTTGAAAAAAATTATAAAATCTACTTCTGGATCACCAGATTATATCTATTATCTTATAAATATCAACAGAATAAGGATTTTATTCTCGGCATTTTCTGTGAATAGGGTGGTTCTCTTTCCTGCTCATTTATCCAAATATTTCTGAATACATTCTTATAATTTAAATATTAACAACATCTAACAAAAACTTATATCTGAGATAAATGAATATCCACATGTAGAAGATGAATTTGGACCCCTGCATCACATCATACACAAAAATGGACTCAAAGTAGATCATAGACCTACATATAAAAGCTAAAGCTATAAAACTCAGAAGAAAATATGAGAGTAAATCTTTGTATGTTGGGTTTGGCAATGACTTTTTAGATATGCCACCAAAAGCACAAGTGATAAAAGAGAAGACTGACAAATGGAACTTCCTCAAAATTAAAAATGTTTTGCTTTAAAGGACTTCAAAAGAAAGTAAAAAGATAACCTATGTACTGAGAAAATATTTGCAAATAATGTATCTGATAAGGGACTTGTGTGCAGAATATATAAAATACTCTTACAAATCAACAAATACCACGTTCTCACTTATAAGTGGGAGCTAAATGATAAGAACACATGGACACGTAGAGAGAAACAACACACACTGGAGCCTTTTGGAGGGTGGAGGTGGGAGGAGGGAGAAGATCAGGAAAAATAACTAATGGGTACTAGGCTTAATTCCTGGGTAATGAAATAATCTGTAAAACAAACCCCCATGACACAAGTTTACCTATGTAACAAACCTGCACTTGTACCCCTGAACTTAAAAAGTATTTGTTAAAAAAGACAAATGATCCAATTAAAAATAGGCAAAATATTTAAATAGATATTTTTAGAGGTGATATACAAATTGTGAATACACATAAAATGATGCTCAGTACCATTAGTCACTAGGTAGACAGCAAATCATAACAAGATACCACTTCAAAACCTCCAATCAAAATGACAAGCAATAATAACAAGTATGGGTGAGGACGTGAGAAATTGGAAGTATACACTGCTAAAAGAAATATAAGGTAGTGCAGGTACTTTGCTAAAAGAAATATAAGGTAAACATATACCTTATATACTTTGCTGAAAGAAATACATTGCTAAAAGAAATATACACTGCTAAAAGAAATATAAGGTAGTGCAGCTACTTTGGAGAACAGTTTTCGAGTGTCTGAAATGTTAAATATAGAGTTATCATATAATCCAGGTAATCCATCTGATATCTTTTTGTGTATCCTCTAAAATTTTTTTGATATTAAATATTTTTAAATCTCTTAATTTCTCCCCAAAGGATCTTAACTTCTAAAATTCCCATTGAACCTCCACCAAGCTCTTCAAATTCTCTACACCGCCCTAGGTATATAACCAAGAAAAATAAAAACATATGTCTACAGAAAAACTTGTACACAAATGTTCACATTAGTATTATTCATGATAGCCAAAAGTAGAAACAACCCAAATGCCCATCGACTGATGAATGGATAAATAAAACATGATATATCCACACAATGGATATTATTTGGCAATATAAAAAATGAAGTATTGATACATGCTACAACATGGATGAACCATGAAAGCATTATGCTATGAAAGAAGCTAGTCACAAAACACCGTGCCTTATATGAAACCTTTTATTAAAAATGTCCCAATAGGAAAATCTACAGAGATAGAAAAGAGATTAGTAGTCACCTAGAACTGGGGATGGGGGAGTTAGAGTAAGTGCTATTTGGTTTGTGTTTTCCTTTGGGCATATTAAAAATATTACGATTATGGTGATGGTTGCATAACTCTGCAAATGCACTAAAAATCATTGAATTGTACATATTAAGTGGGTGAACCTCATGGTATGTACATTTTATCTCAACAAAGCTGTTTAAAAGTAAAAACAAAAAATGAAATCTATCTTTTTTCCTGTGCAACATGTGTCCATGCCCCATATCCCAAAAGCACTAGGTCCAGACATGTTCACAAGAAACTTTAAGGAGTGGAAAATTCCAATACGTTGACATTCTTCTTATTTATGTATTCATATGTAGTGAGTGTAACATTAACACCAAAACTAAAAATGATTTTATAAAGAAAGAAAACTACAGACCAAAACCACTCATGAATATTAATGCATAGATACTAAATAAAATATCAACATACAGATTTCAGAATAACAGTAAAAAATAGTACTTCATAAATAAGTGGCTTTTATGCCAGGAAAGCAGGTTAGTTAATATCAAGAAATCTAGTTATATAATTTATTATATAAATAAACATAAGGGCCAAGTGCAGTGATTCACACCTGTAATCCCAGCACTTCCATAGGCCAAGGCGGGAGGATCACTTGAGGCCAGGAGTTCAATACCAGGCAGCATCACGTGACCCCCTGTCTACAAAAAAATTAAAATAAATTAGCCTGGCATTGTGGCAGATGCCTGTGGTCCTAGCTGCTTGGGAGGCTGAGGCAGGAGGATCCCTTGATCCCAGGATCCCAGGAGTTCTAGGCTGCAATTAGCTGTGATTGCACCACTGCACTCCAGCCTGGGCAACAGAGTGAGACCCTGTGTCTAAAAATTTTTTTTAAATAAATAAATAAACATAAGGATAAAACTCATATGATTGCCTTCACAGACTCCAAAGGATGTTTGATACAATTTAATGTTTTTGAAAAAATTTGCTAAAATAGAAATGTATTGATAATACTTTAAAACAATTAAAACTTATTTCTTCCTGTGCAAATGTAAGTGGTGTCCTCTTAGAAATTAAAAAAAAGTAAGGAATGCTGATTTTTGTCACAATTACTAACACTAAACTTGAAAAAAGCAATAAAAAAGCCAATTAACTAGATAACATTGAAAAGGAGGAGGTAAACTATTCCAATTTACAGATAACATGATTGTACATCTAAATAAACCAAAGAATCAAGTGAAAATATACCCCAAACAAAGGTAATTCAGTAGTAAAATGGTACAATAAACAATGTACATATTCATATGTAAAAATTACAATCTATTAGAAATGTAAAATGAAATTTCCGTTTACAATAACAACAGGCATGATAAATACATAGGAATAAACTTTAATGACATATGTGAGACCTTTAATGACCTATGCACGTATCTTGCAGGAGATGCCTGTGAAAGAGGATGGGCCAGGGTCAGCTTTCACCTTCATATCCTCCCATGCAAGTACTAACCAGGCCCGACCCTGCTTAGCTTCCGAGATCAGACGAGATCGGGCGCGTTCAGGGTGGTATGGCTGTAGACTCACCTTCATATCCTAAAGGCTGTCTCTTCCTCTGCTGCCCTACCCAGATTCCCATTGCTTCTTGTGTAATTGACTCCTTTGCATGATTCTTCACATAGACCCACTGTTTCAGCTTCTCTGACCCAAAGAGGATCTTGGAAGAATTCTGTTTCTGTCCAGGAATCCCCAGTTTTTCTTTATCAACCACCAAAACCAAGATATACCAACCCCGAATGTCAAGATAAGCCCCTACCCTTTAAGAAGTGTTTTGTGTATGCTTGATTGGAATCACTGTGGGGCAGGGAGTATTTCAGGGAGGGGCCTGATTCCTAATCTAGCTGCTATTCTACATAATAATCCTTTTTGAGTTACATATGTCATAAATGTATTTTTTTCATTTTTATAGGCTTTTCTTTCACTCTCTGGTTTCTTTATAATTAATCTAAATTCTTAATTCAGTATAATTAAATTTATGAAGCTTTTTGATTACGGTTTGCACTTTCTACTTTTTTATCCTCTACCCTGAGGTAATGACTTTGCTACCTCTTATATTGTTCTAAAAAATTTTTATAAGCTTGTCTTTCCCATTTTAGTCTTAAATTCAAACTAATTTAATTTAATTTAATTATTGTTATTTTCTAGAGGCAGGGTCTTGCTATGTGTGGTGTGAGGTTGGTGTCTAAATTATATCTTTTATAATGTGGAAAATCGATTCGTTTAGCATCATTTATTTAAAAATCTATTATTTCCCATTGAACTGCAATGGAAAATAAATCACATATCACATTAGCATATACATGTAGGCAGCTTTATGATAATTCCTGATAGCTGACAATATCTTGGCTGTTTTTGACTTTTTGCTCTCCATATGTATGAGGTTAGTGCAAAAGTAATTGTGGTTTTTGCCATGGAAAGTAACAGCAAAAACTGCAATTACTTTTGCATTAACCTACTTTGGAAACAGCTTGTTCATTGACACAAACACAGAGTTAAATTTTAGATAAGTTGCATTGAATCCATAAATCAATGTGGACTGAATTTAAATCTGCAATTATTATTTCCCCAATATTTGAACATAAATATTTATATTTGAACATAAATATTTATATTTGAATATGACATAACTCTCCACTTACTGAGATCTCTTTGATTCTTTCCAATTAAGTTATAATTTTCTTCATAACATTGTTAGATTTATCCATATATATGGTATATTTGATGTTTTTGTAAATGGTATCTCCTTTAAAATCACATTTTACACATTTTTTTCTGTTGAATATATTTGCAGTCAGTTTTTGAATTGATTTTACATTCAGAGGTCTTCCTAAGCTATCTTATGAATTTTAATTTACTTACTGATTCTTTTGGATTTTCTACCAAGGTAATTATATGATTTTCATTAGTAAATACATTTTTTATCTCTATTTCTTATTTTTTTTTTTTTTTTTTTTTTGAGACGGAGTCTCGCTCTGTCTCCCAGGCGGGAGTGCAGTGGCGCAATCTCAGCTCACTGCAAGCTGCGCCTCCTGGGTTCACGCCATTCTCCTGCCTCAGCCTCCCGGGTAGCCGGGACTACAGGCGCCTGCCACCACGCCTGGCTAATTTTTTGTATTTTTAGTAGAGACGGGGTTTCACCGTGTAAGCCAGGATGGTGTCGATCTGCTGACCTCGTGATCCATCCGCCTCGGCCTCCCAAAGTGCTGGGATTACAGGCATGAGCCACCGCACCCGGCCTTGTATCTCTATTTCTAATCCCTCACTTTGTATTTCTTTTTCTTGCCTTAGTGCTCTAAGGTCTTCTATGCAATGCCAATTATAAATGATCATGAAGAGCATGCTTGCCATTTGTATTGACCTTAAAGAGCATACTATCAACATTTACTATGAAGTATGATGTAGGTTTCAGGCTTTCAAAAGGTGTACATCTTTTATGAAGGAAGTTGTCTTTATCAATAGTCTTGTGAGAGATTTTATATAAATACGTTTTTATTTTTATCAAACCTTTATCTTCATTTATTGAGAAGATCATATATTTTTTCTCTTGAACTCTTAACGTGGTGATCTTCCAATGTAAAGCAGCAATTATGTTTCTGTGATAAATTCATTTCGGCCACAAAGTAAATTCATTTTTTATACAATGCTTGCATCAGGCAGAATGGTTTGGGATCTAATGCTATAACAAACAACCTCTATGTTTTTGTAGTTTATAACAACAAAGGTTTATTTCTCAATAATGTTAAATGTCAATTGTGAGTCAGATGGAGTCTCTGCTCTATCTAGTTTTTGACAGGAACTCAGGCTGATGGCACCTTCACCGTTTGGGGAGTATATGGAAGTGGCAGGGGTCTGTTGCGGAGACAGAAATAACACGAGACCTTGCATTCTGGCTCTGAAAGCCTCTGATTTGAATTGGCACACAGCCCTTCTATTTACATTTTATTGGCCAAAACACTACATGGAAAAATCTAACCATAAGTATGTAGAAAAGTGAAATCCTACTATGTGCCCAGGAAAAGACAGTATAAGCATATTTGTGAGTAGATCTAAAAATCATTACAATGCTAGGTTTATTTTATTTTTTGTTTGGAATTTTTACACCTCTATTCCAGAGTGATTTATAGATATAATCTGATTTTTTATGTTGTCCTTGCCAGGTTGTAGTGTTAAGAATTTGCTAGCCCACCAAATTGTGTGGCATGTTACTCCCATTTTATCTAAGCTTCGAGATACATGTATGTGTATGATATTAGGACTATTTATATCTTGCATGTTTGGTAGAACATAATTTTAACATCACTTGGGTTTGGTGTTTCTTTCAGAGGATAATTCAGTTTCTTTAGAGGTAATAAAACTATACAGATTTTCTTTTTCTTTCTCATTCTGGATTTAAAGTTCTACTTTTTCTTCTGAAAGGTTGACCATTTTATGTTTTCAAGTATACTGACACAAAGTTACTCATACTATATTTAATATCTAGAATTATGGATCATTTATTTCCAATATTTTTAATTTATTCTGCATTTCTTTGATGAATTTTGCTACAGGAATTTCACATTTTACTTTTCAGAAAACAATCTTTGTCAATAGCAAAGATTTGTCAATGACTCTATTGGATTTTTTTGTTACATAGTTTCTTAATCTCTACTGTTTTGTTGTTATTTTCACCCTTCGCCATTTATTTAGCGAGTGGTGTTCTTTTTCTAATTTGTTTATTTGTGTATTGTATTAGGGTTCTTCAGAGGGACAAGACTAATAGGATATATGTATATATGAAAGGGAATTTAGTCTACATACACCTATTACATCATGCATACTATTTATATTGCTTGAAAACTTCAAATTTTAATGTTTTTGTTTTCTTTCTCTATCAATAACTGTGTGAGGGGCCTTAAAATATGCTGTTATAATAGTTTGTCAAGTTATACTACATTGTTCGGTCAGTTTTGACTCTACATGTTCTAAGCTATTACTAGGTACATGCAAGTTTAAACATTTTATCATTATATAGTGACCCTCTTTATCTTTCATAAGAATAATATTTATTTTGCCTTATATACTGTCTTTCTTTCGATTAATAATCTCCTGGTTTATCTTTTCTCTCTTTTTTTAAATCTTTTAAATTTTTTCCTCTTGTTTTTCTTCTTGTTTTTTACCTTTCCCTTCCTGTATTTTTTCTTCTTCTTATTCTCCTGCTCTTCTTCCCAGCCTCCTCCCCTCCTCCTTATTCTTCTTGTTTTCCCTCTTTCTCTCTCCCTCTCCTTCTGTCTCTGTTCTCTCTCTCTCTCTCTCCCTGTCTCTCTCTCTCTTGCTCTCAGTTGGGCAATCTTGATCTTTTAACTAGATCATAAAGACCATTTACATTTACTGTAATTTATATGAATGTACATACTCCATTTTAATTTCTGCTTACTTGCCCCAAATTTTGTTTCACATTTCCTCTCTCTTATTGCTTCTGTTTGGAATGGTTGATCATATTTTTATTTCCATTTTCCCCTACCTATTTATTAATAAATGTTATGACCTATTTGTATTAGCTTAAAGGCTCCCTTAATTATTTTAGCATGCAAAGATTATTTATCAAATTTAAATTGATATATTTCCCTTCAACCTAAATATTCCATAAATTGTTGTCTTTTTTTCTTTTTCTTTTTCTTTTTTTTTTTTTTTGAGACAGGGTCTTGCTCTGTCACCCAGGCTGGAGTGCAGTGGCAAGATCTCAGCTTTCTGCAGACTTGACCTCCTGGATTAAGGTGATCCTCCTACCTCAGCCTCCCAGGTAGCTGGGACTACAGGCACATACCAATACACCCAGCTAATTTTTGTATTTTTTTTTTGTAGAGACAAGGTTTTGTCTTGTTGCCCGGGTTGGTCTTGAAGTCCTAGACTCAAGCAATCGGCCCATCTTGGGCTCCCAAAGTGCTCAGACTTCAGGCATGAGCCACCATACCTGGCCTAGACTATCTTAATAAAAACAACTCCCTCGTTTTACCCTTTTTGTGTCTTTTATTATTTTTTCTATTTGTTTTTTAAGCTCAAGAAGAATTTATCACTATGATTTTATGCAACCAAAGTTTATTTAAATTTATCCACATATTATCATTTTCTTTGCTCCTAATATATTCCTGTTACTCAAAGCTAACATCTGGGATCACTTGCATTTTTTTTTGTGAATTTCATTTTTTAAAAGTTCATTCAAAGAGGATCTGTTGATAGTGAACTATTAATTTTGTATCAACAAATACCACTACCTTACCCACTCTCTTGAAAATCACTTTGATTAACATGCAGTCTCAGTAGACAGTTATTTTCTCTGAGCACATTAAAGACATTACCACAGTGTGTGGCTTTCATAATTGCTGTTGAGAAGTTAGCTGGAAGTTCATCAAACATTGAAGGTTCTCATTTTTGTCTTGGTGCTTTAATACATTTATGTCTTTTATGGTCTGCAGTTTTGTGTTCTAGATATTTATTTTGCTGGTTAGGATTCATTTAGCTTCATAAGTCTGGGAATTGGTATTAAAAATAATAAATTTTAGAAAATTCTAAACCGCTATGCTGCCAAATACTACCACAGCTCCCTTCTGTCTTGTTTATGAGACTTAATTAGGCATATATTAAAACTTTTTTATTCCCCATCATGATTTAACTTTTAAAACATTTTGCATCTCTTTGCTTCCCTTCGGACATATCTTCCAGCTCACAAAATTTCTGTCTTTATTTGTATTCAACTGTTAAATCCATCCAATGAGTTATATGTTATTTCTATAAGCTCTATTTTTTCTTACTCAAATATGCTTTTACATTTTTATAACCTTTAACTATTTTTTATAATTTGTCCCTTATTCACCTTCTTAGCACTCATTAGACATATTTCTTTTATACCTGATAAATATGTTTTCTGAAGTCTTTGTCTTATTGTGTTGTTGGCTTATTGTGTGTGTGTGTACTGGTGATTGGCTGATGACTGGGACATGCTTACTTGTGTTTTATGTGACACTGAGCATGTGGTCTTTGGAGGTACTAAATGTAGGGATATCTCCATCTATATTTCCCACTTAGGATGATCCCTAGACTTTGTCTTTTCCATACCCTCAGAGATCAAGAAAAACCAAGCTAAATTTACTTGGAACAGCAAATGTTCTCAAGACAAAACCAGGCTGAAGGTTACCTAACTCTCTCTTTCCCCTCTTTTACTTAATGTTTGGCTCTGAGTATTATTTATTAATTTTTTATCTATAATATTTTTCAAAAATAAATAAAGGCTGGATGCACTGGCTCATACCTATAATCCCAACACTCTGGGAGGCTGAGGCAGTAGGATTGCTTGAGTATGGGAGTTCCTGACTAGCTTGGGCAACATAGTGAGACCTCAACTCTACAAATAATAAAAAAATTACCTGGGTGTGGTGGTGCACACCTGTGGTCCCAGCTTTCCAGGAGGCTGAGGTGAGAGGATCACTTGAGCCTGGTGGTCAAGGTTGCAGTGAGCCATGATTGTGCCACTGCACACCAACCTGGGCAACAGAGAAAGACCTTTTCTCAAAAATAATATTAAAAATAAATAAATACAGTTATTGAAAATTGTAGTTGTTCTTGGCACAAGGGCCACTTGCAGTAATAGATGCTCAGTAAATATTTATTGAATGAATGAGTTTTCGCATCTTTCTGTGTACAGTTCATGGCTCATCAAAACTTTCAGGGAGAATAATAGAGAATATATCCTTTTCCCAGAAGGTATTTCTCTATATTTGTATCTCTTCTACAAAGCAGTAGAAAAAAGGAATTATGAAAAATGAAAAGCAACCCTCTTCCTCACTTTGCTTTTCTTAAAAGAAAATAAAGAAGAAAGATGAAAATAAGACAAAAAGAAAATGGGAAAACTGTGTAGAATGGTAAGAGAACAGCTTAGAGCTGTGAAGTACAGAGCTCTGTAGTTGGTGCTTACTCATTCATGAGTACCTTTTACTTTTCTCTTTCATGGCTGGAACTATTGCCAATTATTGTACAGATGTTCCTGCATATCTGCTGCCATGAGTAAATATAGTCTGACTCTTGAGAGTTTCTGAGCCTCACACTCTGATCTCATCCAGTGTGTCACTTTTCTAATGGGCTAAAAGAGGAATCCAGTGGTTTATTGAAAAGAACGTTAAATTGAATACTGGTTGCATTGTAGAGAAAAGCACTTCCTCTAGTTCTCCAGAATCCATTTCAAGGACCTGCCACTTGTCTTTGAGCTCTTTTTCCTCTACTCTTCTTTCACATTAGCTCTTTTAAGAGAAATATGTTTATCCCTATACCCCATGGCCTGGGTGGTCAGAATCAGTGAAATCATTCCATTTCTCAGAACCACACTAACAGAAAGGTGGCTATCGATAGCCGGATTCTTCCATAAGTCATAATGCTTTTAGATGTGCTTTATTATCTTCCAAGATGAAATATATGACATCCTGTAATGGGTCCTAAATATCAGGACCTTTAACTTTTCTCAAGGTGAGAACCATCTCCTTACTGCTTCCCTCGCTTCAGGCCTTCCTGCCACCCTCTCTAAAGGACTGTGGGGCTGCTAATGTATACTCCCAATAATCAGAACTCAACTAGTTTTTCATCCATGCATGTTTCCTGCAATGAAGGAATCTCTTATAAGAGCCACTCTCAGGCAGAAGTGGCACAAGAGAAATGCTGCCATTAACAAGCAGAGTGCAAGAGATGAGTTGATGGAATATTGCCTCCTTGCTTAATTGGAGCTCCTGACCAACCCTTTCTCCACATGAAGAAAGGAAGTGTTAAGTGAATGTCTAGAATATGAACCTGTCCACATGTCGAGTGGCATAGAAAGACCAAAGCATCTCAGTCATGTTTTTTGCTTAGAAAACTTTCTTCCTTATGCATTCCCATGTGCATGCACTGCAGCATAAATTCTCCTAGTCGAGGTTGCCCCACTTTGCAAAAAGGAGTTTTCTTGAGCTGCCAGTGTCGGCTGTCTATACAACGACTTACAGCACTGGACTTCCTCCTGACATCACACTTCAATCAAAAACTTTTTGCACAAAATGTCACTTTCAAAGTTGCGGTTTGGGGGAAAAAAGTGTCTATAAAAAATTCATGGCCACAATGATCTGATAATGCAGTGTTCTGATACCAGCAGATGTTTTGTCTAACATGTTCCCTGAAGCTGTACTCTGTGCCTTCATATCTTTCATTTCCAGTTGCTATCTGCTGACTGTGGGATGTCATGTACGTACCCTATAGCTATGCGCGGCAATTCGCATCTAACACCACCGCGCGTAATGAGCTTCACAAGATGCTTGTCGCAATAACTCCGTACTTCCCTAACCATATGGAACACAACACTCTAAAGCCCATAGACACTTTTTTTTATTACAGTTCAGATCCTTAAAACATAATCTGTGTGATGTCTAGTGAATGTACATGAAGAGCTGCTGAAAACAAAGTTAACACTTGTTCACATCATCTGTTACAAATGTCCAATTTGGGACAATAAATTTCCTCGGAACCTGTTCTTTTGCTGACTCGTTGCTTTATCTTTTTTCCTCTTTTCTCTCACGTCGTTTTTTTATGAACTATGCATATGTATTAAATGGGATTTGTTGTCCCTAGATACCAATTTGCATAAAGTACAAGCCATCATTGGTTGGAGAGAAGCAAATTACTTCTCCGGCAAGATCACACTTTTTTTTTTTTTTTTTTTTTTTTTTAATTTTAACAAACCGCAGGCAGAGGCTGTTAACAGTACTTAGCCAGATATGCAAAGTATCACTTTTCTCAAAAGCAGCTTGATCAATGAGGGGGAAAAAGGGAAAAAGTGAGAGGTGATATTATTCAATTAAGTCCCATGAAAAGCTGACCTGAAACAGAAATGCCCATACCTGTTTCGCCACCTGTCCACTTGTCGGTAAGCTGAACCTCTGCATTTCCCCTTCAGTGCAGGGCAGGTATTTATTCAAGCCTTTTGAGGAAAAAAAAATACTTGAGAGACTTAGCAAAGAAGTGAGACCAACTCAGCAGCTTTTAAAAATAACAAGAATCTCTCAGTTTCATTCTCTGCTTCTCGGAAAACTCACTGCACTTCATTTATTTTTTCAAGTTACCCTTGCCATTCTTTTCTTTTCTTCATAACATAATAATCAAGCAGCGTTCTGTTAACAGCTCTGCTTATAATTGCCGACTTAAAATGTCTTGTAAGCCGCAAGTAGGACCTGCACTCCCCACCTCTGCCTATCACGAAAAGTGGATTCCCCTGTGAGATGCAGTAAGGTGCGTGGGACATTGCAGATGGAGCCCCCTGCATTCAGGTCCATAGCAGTCCCCGGCTGTCTTCTTCCCATTGTTCTCATGCTGTACACCTGTGACAAGTTGGCAATTGCCTGGGTGATAATGCAGAAACTTGCAAATTCCAGTTTGTCCCTCTGCTAAGCAGAGCTGTGCTAGATTTTGCTAAATAAAGAAACAAACAGCTCTCTCAGCCAAGAATCTCAGACAACGTATTGAGGGGGTGGAAGCTGTGAACCTTAGAAACAGCTGGGAGTAAGTGACACTCTCCAACTTTGACAAACTTGCCATAGAAACTTCAAGAGACTGTGGTCTGACTTACATGTGCATTTTCAGTTAAGTTTAAGTTCCAGGGTCTTCGGTATGTGTTACAGAATAATGAATATTTTAATATCATTTTAAACCATTCTAACTAGACAACATGTAAATTTCTTATAAGGAGCAAATGTTTGTTCTAAGCATTGTAACTCTTAAACAAGAAATCATTAGTAAATTCTGTTCCTTCTTCTGGGAAGGGGTACTCAATCATTATTATTCACTTGTGAGGATCAAAGAGAGTTGAGTATATTATTTACCCCCTATTGTTTTGTCAGGAGGACAATTAGAAATATAAACAAATGACTGAGAAGCCAAGTTGCTTGGTGATGTCAAGGTTGACACCCATGCCCAGGATATCTTTAGGGAAGACACAAATGTGACCAATAATCTCTGTCTAGAAGTCAGAGACTCTGTGAGTGTGAATGTGTTTGATGTCCCCCTGCTCACCACTGTGTTCCTAGTGCCTAAAAAACTGGTACTTATGAGATGCTTAATATCTATTTGTTAAATGGATCAGTGAATGATGGAGTTCTGAATTTAGTGGTTACATGAAGGAAGTGAGCTCCACACAGGAAACTATTTATCTGTTAATGTCACTAGAGTCAAAGATTAATAAAATTTATTTCATGTAAGTTTTTTCCTCTAAGTTCTATCAGATTAATGAAACTTATTTCATGTAAGTGTTTTCCTCTATATTCTGTCAGATTAATGAACTTTGTTTCATGTAAGTTTTTTTCCCCCTAAATTCTATCAGAGGCACATTCTGAGTGCCTTCATTGTGAGAAGAAATAAACTAAGCATTGCTGATAGTGAGATAAATAGTCTGGGAGGTAGTAGGTTATTACGGAAGTGGTATGGATTTTGAAAGAGGAACAAGCAAAGCAATATCATTTACTAGCTTAGTGAACTTGGGCAAATTACTTACTCTCCCTGAGCTTTAGTTGCCTCTTCTGTAAAATGGGGGGAAATACTTGTAGCATAAGAATATTTTGTGATGATTGAATGAGATTAGGCAATGTCAAGTTCCTGGTACATGGTAAATGCTCACTGAGTGTTGGTCCTTTTGTTTCCCTGCTCCTTCAGAACTTACAGTCCCAATGAAAATCTCAACAAGATATTTTGAGGGTATCAACAAAGTTACTCTAAAATTTTTATGGAAAGGTAAAATATCAAAATAGCCAACATAATACTGAAGAAGAACACCGTTGAATGAGTAACAATACGCAACTTGAAACAATAAAAAATTGCAGTAATCAAGACAGGCTAAGATTAGCAAAATAATAGGCAAAATCAATGGAACAGGATAGAAAGCTCATACATAGACCAACACAAATATCTTTGATAAAGGAAAACTGGCAATTCAATGAAGAGATGATAGTCTTTTCAATAAATGTTGCTAGAACAATTTGATGCCCATATGCAAAAGAAAAAAATCTAGACACAGACCTCACACCTTTCATAAAAGTTAGCTCAAAATCAGTCATAAACCTTAATATAAGACACAATACTGTAAAATCTCTAGAAAAAAATGTAGGAGGTAATCTATGTGACTTTAGGTTTGGCAATGAGTTTTTAGGAACAACACCAAAAGCATAATCTATGAAAGAAAAAAAATGATAAATTGCACCTTTCGAATGTTTTGCTCTGAAAATTACATTTTTAAGAGAACAAAAAGACAAGTCACAATCTGGGAGAAAATATTTACAAAACAAATATTTGATAAGGCAGTTGTATTCACAATACACAAAGAACTCTTAACAATAAGAAAATAACCCCCCCAAAAAATGGGCAAAATATCTGAAGAGATATCTCACCGAGGAAGAGATACAGATGTCAAATAATCATATAAAAATGCTCAATATCATTTGTTATGAGGAAATTAGATGCTAAATTTTGTCAAATGATTTTTCTTTATCTATTTTAATTATCATTTTTGTCTGTTATTATGACGGATTATATTGGTTAGCTTTTGAATGTTGAACCAGTCTTTCATTAGTGAAATAGATCCTATTAAGTCATGATGTATTAATATTATTTCAGGTACTGCTGTATTTTTTGGCTAATATTTTGTTGAATATTTGTATGTCCATGTGTAAGAGGGATATTGGTTTTCAATTTCTTGTTTCTTGTATTACATTTATCTGGCTTTTTTATGACAAAATGACAAAATATTTCCTTTTCTATTTTCTGAAAAACAAATTGTATAAAGTTTACATATTTCTTAAAATTTTGGCAGACTTCATCAGTGAAGCAATTTGGTCCTAGACTTTTTTGCTGCAAAGTTTTAATTATGAATAATGTTCTTTAACTCATATAAAGCTATTCAAGTTATCTATTTCTTCTTGAATAAATTTTGTAGTTTCCATCTTTTTAACTAATTGGTCCATTTCATTTAAGTTGCCAAATGTATAGGCATACAAATGTTTTTATTATTTTCTTATTATTTCAGATTTCCTTCTATTTTATTTCTGAGGGTCTGAAATGAAATCCCCCTTTTATGCTTGATATTGAAAAAAAGTATATCCTCACTTTTTTCTTGGTCAGTCCGTCCAGATATTTTTGAATTCTATTGATCATTTCAAGGAACCAGATTTGGTTTCATTTATTTTCTCTATTTCTTTTTCTATTTCATTAATTTCAGTTATTTTTTATTGTTCCTTTTTTCTTGTGCTTTAATTTGTTTCTCTTTTTCTAGCTTCTTAAGTTGAAGACTTAGATCATTAGTTTGAGACCATTCTATATGTCTAGCATAAACATTTAATGCTATAAATTTTCCTCTAGGCACTATTTTAGCTTCATTCTGCAAATTTATCTCCATTCTCATCAATTTCATTCAGTTCAAAATATTTTATCGTCTACTTCAGACTTTTTCTTTAACCTGTGTCTATTTAGAAGTATGCCATTTAGTTTGCAAATATTTCGGTACTTTCCAGATATCTTTTTAGTTTTGATTTCTACTATGATCAAATAAGATATTTTGTATTATTTCTATTTTTTAAATGTGTTATAGTTTGCTATAAAAGCCATGATATAGCTCATCTAGGTTCTTGTTTAGGTGGATTTAATAAGAATATGCATTCAGCTGTTGCTAGATATAGCGTTCAATAAATGTCAATTACATCAAATTATTTGATAGTGTTGTTCAGATCTTATATATCCATGCTGGTCTCCTATCTACTTATTTGTTGATAATTCAAAGAAGAGTGCTAAAGTCTCCAAGTATATTTGTGAATTTGTCTATTTCTATTCCTTTAAGTCTTATTATTTATCTTTCTTTTGAGACTTTGTCATATTTTTCTGGTTATTTATTCTTCTAGTAATTTTTGGTTATATCCTGGATATTTTAAATATTACCTTGAGAGACTGGGTGCCATTAAAACCTTCTGTTGAATGTCAAATTTTTAATTTATCAAGCCATCAACCCAGTTAGGTTAAGACTAAAGAATTATTTCTTGCCTTCTGTGTGTGGTATTTCCAATGTCAGCTATGATTTCGAAGTCTTTATTATATTGCTTTGACTTTTTTGCACATGTATCTCTCAGAGGTAATTCTGGGACTTGGGTGGTGGTTTATATTACAGTTCAATTCCCAAAGCCTTTACTATGCTGGTTCATATTAATGCCTATTACTCACATACACAGCTTAGGGGTTAGCCCAGGACTTGTGTCAGTTCATATATAAAGTGGGGGTCATCTCCAGCTTTCTTCTTTCTGAGATTTCTCTTAATACTCTCTAGCTATCAGGGAGCTCTTTTCTCCTTAGAGGTTTTACTGCCTCATGTTCAGGTCAAAGTATTTATCTCTATTATGGTCTTTCTTCAAGTTTGGCTGTCTCTCTAGTTTGTCTGCTATTGCTAACTTCTCAGAGTTTGCAGATGGTTGCCTTTTAAATATTGTCCAGTTTTTAGTTGAAATCAGTGGGAGTGATAGGTATAATGGGCTTACTCTATTTTGGCCAGAATCATGAAGTGTAAACCTGGGTTTTAATAAATTACAGTAATATATTGTACTTATCAAATAGTTAATGACAATCTGAGCATTTTTTTGTGACATGATTTGCTTAAAAATATGTATATAATGTGTATCAAGAAGTTTGTCTCCAACTTGATGTCTCTGTATGCTGACATTTAATACTGTCTTAATGAAAGACTAGAGATGACTGCCACCTAGCAGGATGAATGAATGTATTTTTTATTATAAGTAGACCTTGATAATTAAAAGTAATCTACAAATAAATTAATAAAAATATTTACATCACAGAAAACATTCTATTCCTTTAAGTATTAAGTTAATTTTGTTTTTTTAAAAAAGAAACCTAAAGTAGACTTTGACCTTCTCAGACACATATATGTTACGTAAAATACATTTTATTTCAATTAAAAGATGTTTTCATTTTAATTGTCAATCATATCCTGGTAAACCTACACAATTATTGATCTTAATTGTGGAAGGCTTGAGATATTGATGATGCTGGATAATTTGTTTGTTTGCTTGCTGGCTTTGTAAGTGGTACCACAATGAAGCGGCACAATGTGCTTCTCTGACTTTGGAAGGTCACCACAGTTCTAGAATCTGTTGTTCAGCCTTATAAGTTTTAAAGGTTTACATTATCAACACAGAAAGAATGAATCCATCTCTTGGGGACAGGGTTGCATCAACCAAGCTCACAGTCTGATAAAGAAACCAGAGTGATCGGTTTTCAATGAGAATAATAGCTGTCACAAAAATCAGCGTATTTCTAGTGGCTTGAATGACTCATCCTTTTCCTAGAGGCAGATCTAAAAAGGAACCACCACAACGAGAAGATGTGCAGTTATGCAGATGTGCAGGATATCATAACTAGGGGAGTATATTAACTTGAATATTTAGTAGTAGTATAGTACTATACACTCAGACAAATTCTTGCCCCCTTACCTAATAACTATGAGATCTTGGGCACATCATTTTAACAACGTTGAGAGGGTGGTTTCCTGTTGTCCTTGAATTATTTAGAGATTAAAAAGTGAGGAGTCCAGTATCTCACACTCTTAATCAAACAGTACAAATAATTGTGAGGAACAAATCCTACCAGGCTATAGTGAATTAACAGTGTGCCCTCCATGTGAGCAATCAGCTGCTAGCCATTTCCCTTCAAATATGAAACAAAAAAAGTGAGAAATTAAAAAAAAATTCTCTCTTCACTGTGCCCAACAACAAAGGAGACAGAACTTAGAAGAATGAAGAGTGGAAGACATAAAAAAGGAGGAAACCCCAACCACCCCTCAACCCCGCCCCACAAATGTACACAAATAAACATGCAGATATAACCCATCATTAAACTCATACAGTTTGGTTTATGGTAGAGAGGGGGAGATTTCTGAATCTGGTATGAAACTATTATTTCAGCCTGAACTGGGCAATTTTAATAAGTAAAATTAACCAGCAAGGTTTAGAATCTTATTGATATATCATAAAAATACTTGCTACCTTTCAGAATTATGTTTGGGAAAATAAAACCAGTTCATGTTCATGCCTCCACAGAATAGAGAATTCTTAATAAACGGCTACAACTTTCTAAGCTCCTTACTTTTAAGATGGGGAACAACTGTATGTTATTTTTTGTTTTTTATGTGGTTAAGGTGATAAGTCAATCAGGCTGGGATTAAAAAGCCCTTAGCCAAGTGCACAGTGTGTAGTAAGCTGTTACAGTGTCCTCTGGTGCTGAGAACTTAGGTCTACCCACACACCCAGGACAGTGCTTGTTTAGATACTGCCAATAATTGCTTCAGACTGTCTCTCACACTGTATGTCTAACAAGAACAGCTTCCATTCTGAGTGACATATTTTCCTTTATATATGCTAGTATCTTCAAAGTATGGTCCAGTCATATAGGCCATCTGTTACCCTTAGGTTGATTTCATATAACCTCATTCTTAGTTAGTTATATATTTTAATTCCAAGAAAACAACCTTTTAAAAATCTTTCTCCTTTAACCAGGCCTAAGTGAATGAAAAGTACCAGGGTATGTCAGCATAATGATGGTGTATATAATAAGGGCTATAAATAAATCAAGGTTACAAAATACTTTACATTTGCACAAATAATCACAAGAAAAGAAGGTATGGTAAAAAACAAAATGTTACAGAAGTTCAGAGATGGAAGATATCACTTCTGGCCTCCAAGTTTCATAAAGAAGTGACCTTTTGAATCAGATGTTAAAAGATGAAAAAGGTTTTGCTAGGTAGAAATATGTATAAGTAAGACATTTCCTGCAAAGTAAGTGGCACAAAGCATAATAAAAATGGGAATGTTCAAGGACTGTTAAGGAGACAGAAACCAGGTCAGTTAGGCATAGTGTACTTCTTGGTATTAAGTCTGGGACCAGATACATAAGGCCTTGAATGCCAAGATGAGAAGTTTCCTTTTATTTGGAATTAAATTCAAGAACATTTAAAATTCGGGAGGAAACGTGGATATATAGAGATAGAATGATAAAAGAAATTGACAACATGTTAATGTTTAGGAAGTCTAGGTGAAGGTTATACAGGAATTTTTTGTAAAATTCTTGCAAGTTTTCTGTAAGTCTAAAATTATTTCAAAAAATTTCAAAAGCTACATTTGTTTTAAAATAAAATAAAAAGCTTCGAGGAATACAGTAGCACCATGAGAGCAGTGTTTTAGGATGGCTGCACAGAGCACATTTTGTTGGTAGAAATTTGGAAAGCACCACATGGTTATTATGAGATCCTGGAGATAAAGTCACTGTAGCCCAAACTGGGGTAAAGATGAAGAATAAGTAACAAATGTGAGAGATGTAACATAGGAGGAACCAATAGGGTTTGGGGGTGTATTAGATATATAATATGAAGGCAGAAAAATTTAAAAGGGCTGTTAAGAATCCCAGATAGATATGTTTATGGACTTGATGGTGATGATGGTTTCACGGATATATATTTATTCCCAAACACATCAAATTGTACACATTATATTTGATTCATTGAATTATATATATTGTAGGTAGCTTTTTACATGTCAATGGAAGCTCAATAAACTCAATAAAGTGTTGTTTTTTTTTTTTAAGACTATGATATATTCACACACAAAAACTGATTTTCAGGTAGGTGAAAGAATCATAATAATCATGAAGAAAAGTAAAGGTCAAAGTAATACATGTGATTTTATATAAACTGAGTTTAAGGTGACTATGGGACATCTGAGTTGAACAGGATGAATATAAATCATTACACAAAAGTGATAAAGCTTTATGGCATGAGTATTTATGGTATTAATGAGTATTTGCCAGAAACAGGGAAGTATTTTTAGAATAAAGAGAAGTGAGGACAGAACGTTGAAGACTGTCCATTTGATGGAGTAGAAGCACAGAAAGAAGTCAATGAAGGTGACTGTGGAACTCAATATCCTAAAAGGCTCTCAAGAATTCCTGTCTCCTGGTTTTCACACCTTCCTGTCATCTCCTTCCTTTGCATGCAGGCAGGACATAGTAGTGGCTTGTTTCTAGTTGATAGAAACAGCAAAAATGAGAAAATCTCACTTCCAGGAATAGGTCATAAGAGATTGTGTCTTCCGTTTTTCTGGTATTCACTCTCTCTGCCTCTTCTCACATTATTGTCATGATGGAGAGGGACACTTGGCAAAGAACAGAGGGCAGCCCCCAGCCAGCAGCCAGAGAGGAACTGAGACTGCTGTCCAACAGGTCCTGGAGAATTCAATTATCCCAACAACCACATGAGTGAGTTTGGAAGCAGATCCGTCCCTAATTAAGCTTTCAGATAATGCCACAGATCCTGGGCCAATATCCTTTTTAAAACTTTGAGTTAAATTTTTTTTAAAATTTTTAATTGACCAATAATAATTGTATATATTCATAGTATACATAGTGACGTCTCTATACATATAATTTATATGATCAGATCAGATCAGGGTAATTAGTGTATCCATCATCTCAAATGTTCATCATTTTTTTGTGATGGAAAAATTCAATATCCTCTTTGTTTGTTTGTTTGTTTGTTTGTTTGTTTGAGACAGAGTCTCACTCTCTCCCAGAGGCTGGAGTGCAGTGGCATGATCTCGGCTAACTGCAACCTCTGCCTCCTGGGTTCAAGTGATTCTCCTGCCTCGGCCTCCTGAGTAGCTGGGATTACAGGAATGTGCCAACACATCCAGCTAATTTTTGTATTTTTAGTAGAGACGGGTTTTCACCATGTTGGCCAGGCTGGTCTTGACGTCCTGACTTCAAGTAATCTGCCTGTCTCAGTCTCCCAAAGTTCTGGGATTACAGGCATGAGCCACTGGGCCCAGCTCAATATCCAAGTTCTGGCTATTTGAAACTCTACATTGTTAACTATCGTCATTCTACATTGATATAGGACACTAGAACTTATTTTTCCTATCTATCTGTTACTGTGTATCCTTAAGCATCTTGATTGCAGTCTTGTAGAGTGTTGGTTTTGAGTTTGTTGGTAGAGTGTAGAGATCATGTCGCAGAGGACCAGCAAAATCATGCCTCAAATGCTGAGCCATAGACACTATGAGATAATAAACATTGTTGTTTTAATCTGTTAAATTTTGGTGTCATTTGTTACAAAATAGGTATCTTATGCAGACAGAAATATATCCTTTGAATAAATAAGAACAGAAACCAGAGTATGCAGTGTCATAGAAGACAAAAGAGAAAGGAAACTTCAAGAGGAAGAGAGTCCTCAACAGGCTAACTGTGGCACATTAGTCGCATAGGGTATTGGCTATTAAAAGACCCCTTGAACTTGGAAGTAAAATTTGAAAAAGTCTTTGATTGAGGGGCAATGGATAAAAAATAGCTTATGTGGTGTGGATGGGGATGTTGGCCAAGAGCAGACTTATTTGGGGTTTCTGGCAGGAAAAAAAGGAAAAGGAATTTACAACAGTAGCTTTGATGGAAAATTATTATCTTTATAATATAAATTTCTAGGTTTATCTCTAGGAAGAGGGAAGGTCTAAGGATCCTGAGAGGTATAGGAAGATGTGAAATCATTTATTGAGTACCTACTATATATCCCTCACTCGTTTCAGCACTAGAGACGCAGCAGCAAGAAAAAAAAAAGGTAAAGATCTTTGCCTCTCATAGTTTACATTAGAGTAGGAAGAGACAGAAAATGAAATAAGTAAAACATAAAATTTGTTAGATGCTGATATGTGTTATGGAAGAGAAATATTCTCAATATTCAGCCTTATGAGGAGGAGAAATACCACTTTCTCCAAGAAATATGGTAAAAATGTCAGATGATACTAGAGAGATGCTCTAAAATGGAGGGAGGGGAGAGGACAATTGAGCCATTTTGTAGAGAATGTGGCCTTTTACTCTGCTTTTGCCTAACACTTGTCTTAGCATATGTTTTTCAACACTGTACTGGGCTCCTACCTCTTTCACTATATTTATGCAGGAATTGACACATGTTGGAGGATTAATCGTTGATGTACAATCTTGGTCCCTTTATTATGGACGGCAATAAAATTCACAGTAACCAAGGCAGTACATTTTTCAATTACACATTATATTGTTTCATTAGCTGTCATACGTCACCTGCACCTACCTATCAACTAGCACTTTTTACTTCATTATGTGCCCGCAGTCATCTTTTAGTGACAATCACTGTATCCTGAATTGTCATAACAAGCCCTAATCTCAAGCAGCAATCCATGTTTCAGCTGCATTTTAGAACACATTTATGTATATGATTTCAGCAAATGTAGTTGAGTGCAATAGAATTGATTCCATGTCCTCCCTTCCTCCCCACCCCATATTTGTATATGGTATATATCTTCCCATTATTGTTTCCAGAGTAACATCACACTTTTCACTGCGAGTTGGCTCTACATTTGTGGACTTAACGTAATGGCCCATAGTGTTTAAATAGGTTGCCCAAAGTCACTGAATATATCAAGGTCTTGGTCATGGTGTTTCTAGATTGGTTCTCTAGAGTAGTTAGCAATTTTAGAGACAGTAAGGCAGGCCTGGAAAGGGTCTGTGAAAAAGTTCCTTAGAAAAGGGGATGATCTTTAAAAAAAGCAATCCATTCAGCCTGGACTAAATTCTGCCTCATGTGTCAGAGCCTATCATTTTCCTTCTTTTTCCTTTGGAGTTCTATTTGTGCAAGACCGTAGTGTCATTTCCAAGCTTTAATCAAAGATATACAAATACTCACAACTGCATTAATACCATGTCTATTTGATGATGCAATCTGTCTCTCCATCTGAATTCTTGCATGTGACGTGTGAACACTCCCAGTCCCAAATTTGCTACCACTTTGCTATAGATGCCTGAAATCGAGAACCCCATAGCATCCCTGTCTTGAGACCTTGTCAGAGTTTCACTCTCAACTAGAGATGTAGTTTTCCATTCCACTTCAAGTAAACTCAAGCCTTAGTCCCCTTTGCTTCCAGCTCTTCCTTAGCCAGGTCTGGAAACCCTGCTGAACTTCCTTCTGACTGCCTGGTGTTTTCTTAAAACAGACTTTCCCCACTCCTCCTTGGCCTGAAATATTCCAAAACAACATTCTGGGAATTCCCAATTAGAGATTCTTCCTCACTTCTTATATAACCAGTGAAGCTACCAATGCCATTCAGGATGTGGCCAATTTTATATCCTCTCATTCCTTTCGATTTTTCCGGTTAAGCTAATTTAATCCCTTCCCCACCAACAATCCCTTTTCCCAAATCCATATTCATAGTCTTCTTAGTAGGAGGTAAAGGGCATTAAATCCTAAAGGTTTCTGCTAATTTTCCCCATTCCTCTTTTGCTAACAGGGGAAGGCTTGTGTTTCCGCTGGGTTTGCTAGCAATGGGATTTTTTTTTCTCTATTCCTTAACACGGTTCTATAATTAATGCATGTTTCTTTGATTCTACATTTATATTTAACACATTTTAAAAGGTACAAAATGCGTTTTAAAGACGCTTCCCGATCCCTTGTGATTATTGGAGCACAGAGGAGCCATGTAAGGATCATGAGAGGAACTCAAGAAGGAGGGGTGGGCTACTGCCAGACTTCCCAGAGCAGAAGCCATGTGAAGGGGAAGTTCACTGACTTGGAAACTCTTGCACCACCTGCTGGTAATTTAGGAAAGCAATTATATGCCAGACGGGGACTGACGTACTCACTGTGGTATTTGGGAGCAACCACACTCTTTGCGTATCATTTTATCATCAGAGTCTGGAGGGCTGACAGATGCGGAGCTTGTGCTGAAACTTATGGAAAACTTAGTTTTGGCATCTCACACTCCTGGAAAACTGGCTAGCTTAAAAAAGAACGCTTTCTCCTCTTTTCCTCAATCCACTCCAACTCAACCTCAGCCTTGTGAGAGCTAAGTTTTCGAACGCCTCTCTATTCGTTCTACTCCGGTGTTGCTTCCTTGGCAAGTTCCTGAGTGGGCTCTTTCTCTCCAACTCTTGGAGCTCATTTTCTAAGAATAATGTCTACTTTGTTGTCCATTGACAGTGCCCTGGGGCATTCACATGCAAAGAGACTTAGAGACCAGGATAATTTCTGTGGCCTACAAATCATGAAAGGGGATGCTCTGGGGAGAGAAAGGAAAGAGTGCAAACTGAAATGGCTTTTCTCCTTGCATCAAAAATGCCTTGAGCTGCATCCCTTAACACCTTAATGGACACCCAACAGTCACTGCACTGATAAGGAAGCTACTAGAAGCTACTTAGCACAGAGTTATCACTCAATATGACTGACCATCATTCAGTAACTCTGAAATGTAAAGGATCCAGGTAATTTCTGTGGCCAATAGTTCTCAGCCCTCCCAATACATAGAAAGCACCTGGGCGCTTGGCTTATTAAATTGGTAGATTCCTGGGCACTGTCCCAGGGATCCATTTTATACCTCACATTTGGGCTCTGGAATCTGCACTTCTAAGAAAGCCTCTGAATTGTTCTGATACAGACGATGCTTAGACCACACTTTAAGGAACACCGCAGAAGTGTTTCTTATTCGCAGAATAAAAGGTTTCATTTCCAAAAACTGTTTCGCCAATTAGATCTTCTGTTCATTTATCCCACCTTCTTTACTATTGCTGCTTTGGAAGAAAATCAGATTATTGTTGGAAAATTAGAAAACACAGGTGAATAAAAATGAAAAATCAAACTCACATCCAGAGAAATAACTCATGCTAAACTGTTAATTTTTTGTGTATATTCTTAAAAAATGTATACATACACATAATATAAAATATTTGTGTATATGTCTATACTTTATAGGTTGTTTAGTTCACTTAATAAATCATAAATGTCTTTGCATACTGGCAAATCCATAATATCTTCATCATCACTTTTAATGGTTATTCCATTAAACAGATGTATGGTTATTCAGCCAGTGCCCTAACATCGAATATTTAGATTTTCTCCCAATAGTTCTATCTTATAAACCAAACCTGTGATGAGCATTTCTGTACATATGCCTACTTGTTCAGTCATTTCCTAAGGACAAATTCCTAGTAGCAGAATTATCAAGTCAAAGGATAATAGATTTTAAGGCTTTGATAAATTGCCAAATGTCCCCAAGAAATGTTTCCTGATTTACTCTCTCAGCGGCACTCAATAAAAATGAGGAAACACCCCTTCCCAATCTGGATATTATAATTTAAAAAAAAACTATTCCCATATGCTTTGATAGAAAAATTGTTTCTATTGTTTTAATGCGCAGTTATTTGACTCATAGAATGAATCTATTCTTTCTTACTATATGTTTGCCACCTAAGATTCTTATGTTACGAGCTGCTTTTTCATATGCTTTGTCCACTATATTTTTGAAACATTTGTCATTTTCTTAGTTAGTAGGAAGAACTCTTTACACTAACACTTAACAGTTTGTTAACTATATTTTATGTGAACACTTTGTTCACTGCATATGTGCAAATATATTACATATATTAACACTGTATTGGCTACATATTTGCAAATATTCCCAGACATTTTAAATACTTGTTGATAGTATTTTTAACTGGTTTGCTTTTATTGTTGTACAAGTATGATTAACTTTTATAAGGCAAAAATGTATCATTATGTTTTTAGAATTTCTGTCTTCAATGTCATATGTGACAAGACCTCTCCTCCTTCAAAATTATATAAATATTCACTCAAACTTTCTTCCAGTATTTTGTAGTTTATTTTTACACTTAGATCTTAGATTCATCTGAAATTTTTGTATGTGGAAGAATAACTTCATTTTTCATATTGTCAGCCTGTTGTCCTAATGGTTATCTCATTTTCTGTGAGAGAAAAGTTCTAAACAGCTATCTCAGTTACATACATATGCATGGTCTGGGAGAAATGAAACGAAGCAAAACATCTCCTTAGGAGGGTGCTCCCTGACATTAGCTCTGTGGAAAACTTCCTGTTGTAGTGGATTTTTGGGACTTCCTAATATATATCACTTCTGGAGGAAGCCATCCGCCTCCCCTTCCCTTTCCTTCTCACGATCTACAGATCTGTAGGTTTCCAAAGGCTGTTGCATCTCAGATAAATTGACAAGTAAAAGGAGAAGATAATGTAAGGAATTCACTATGATTAAATATTAATATTTTATTTGTATACTCCGGTTCCCTTCCATTCTCTATCAGTGTTTTCTGTACCTCACAACTATAACATGGTAGAGTGAAATGAGCACCAGCTGTGAGAGCACACATGTGTATTTTAACCCTGGCTCTGCCGCGAACTTGCATCTCTCAATCTTTTGTGAAATGGGGTGTATGCATTCGTCTACTTGGGCTGGTATAATGAAATACCACAGACTGGGTGGCTTAAACAACAGAAATGTATTTTCTCCCAGTTCTGTAGTCTGGAATTCCAAGATCAAGGTGCCAGCAGAGTTGGTTTCTGGTGAGGCCTCTGTCTTTGGCCTGCAAACGGCCTTTCTTCTATGTGTATGCAGAGAGAGAGAGAGAGAGATCTCTGCTGTCTCTTCCTTTTCATGTAAGGACACCAGTTCTGAACTGGAGCCCTACCCTATGACCCCATTTAACCTTCACTGCCTCTTTAAAGGCTCTGTCTCCAAATGCAGTCACAGTGGGGGTTAGGGCTTCAACTCATGAATTTTGGAGGGACACAATTCAGCCCATAACAATATGGATATCTAGATCTCATACAGATTTAAACACTTTGAACACCATTTCAAATAAGTGTCAGTGGCTTTGGGAAAAGGAGCCTGAAAAATGCAAATTGCATTTCCATTGAAGTCAGCCAATTTGTATTGAAGTCAGCCCAGGGCTGTGCTTGGAGCCCTGTTTGTTCAAGAGTAGTATACAAGCATAGTCCCTGCTCTTTAACTGCATAGCCTCTCATTCATTGTTGAGGAGGTGATGCCAACCTCTGAAACAATAAGAGAATAGTACAAAACCCAGTATCATTAAGGGCAAGTTGTGGGCTTCAACAAATGTTTCTACTTACCATCAGATAATAAGGCATCTTTAGAGTTCCAACACTAAAGTTGTGCTGAGACCATTTTCTGGGTTTTTAGCGCCTTCAGAGGCAAAGCAGAAAGTAGCATCAAATTTCTCCTGTGAAAACTTCTTTGAGTGTTAACTTGTTCTGAATGGAGGCAGGTAACCCTGTTCTGAGCTGACAAAATCAAACTTTACTTGATGCATGGACAGAGAAGCCCAGTGGAGTTTGATCCAGGCACATTTAGGTACATTACCTTCAAAGAGACCTGCTAGAGACTACAGGAGTTGCTGGAATTTTGGATCAAAGGGAGACAGGAAATAGCATCAGTATATTTTTTTTCCTGAAAATGAATGTTATTTCAGAAAACGGAAGCATGTTTGGGCTGAGAGGACAGGTTGCCAGTTGTCTGAACCAGTCATTCCAACCAGGCTTCACACTTCTGCAAAGAAGAGAGGGTGAGTTTACAGGGAGAGGGTGCAGTCCTTTTCAAAGACAAGTAATGGCATTAGTGTTCAAAAAGCAGATAATCTCAGTTACCAAACTGGTGAGAAGCCTGGCAAATCCAGCAGGGGTGGAAGGAGGGAACAGTGGGGCTGCAGATACTGCTAACAAGGAGTGCACCATGGCTAGCAGTGAGTCAGGCTCACCTGTTATCGCCTGACATCACTCCCTTTCCTCAGCTCCCTCTCCCCTTCCTTGGAAAGCAGATTGCTAAATACCTGATTGTAAGCCCCACAAGTGGAGCTACCTGAAGTGGTTTAACCCACTGCAAGTGTTGTACCAATCAGTCAACAATTCCCACGGCTGCCTTTGTGAGAAGCCTCTCTCTTAAGCCTCTGGTTTAAGAATTTAGAGTAATCATGTAAAAATGATACCCCTGTGCTCCATGATCCGCTGAATCTCACTAATGCCAGATCCCAGAAGAGGGCTTATTAATGGTGAGACACAGTGCCTCTCTCTCGGCTCATGTTTCACACAGATCTCTCTTATGGCTTCAGCTGTAAACCTCACTGCTGATAAAGAGAATATAATGAACCTCTCTGCTCCATGAGAATGAAATCTAGGGCCAATGGAGTAGTTACCTGCTCTACCTTCTGGCGCTAGGGTAGGCATGAGAGGTGAGCTTCGTGGCTGTGGGAAATAAAGGCATAAGGCCATCTCCCTTACATCTCAGGGTTTTCTCTGTCATGGTGAAAGAGGCTGCATTTACAGATCATGATATGGGACTACAGAGATGCTATAATTTCTCAAATAGTTCCTCCATAATTTTTTTGTCAATTCCCTACTGCTAACTAGATAAAGGACTCCTCATTTTTGTGCTCTTTCAATAACAAAAAAATAAATAAAAGCTTGGAATCTCTGGATCCCATGAACTAGACCATTCCACAATGTTTAGGGACTCAGGATTTGTCCCACTTTGTTCTGACAGTGACCACTGGGCCCCTGATTTATCTAATGGAAGTCTGCAGTGGGTGCCAAGCATAACCCAACAATTGCCTCCCTAGGCCCCATCATTCCCCAGCTTTTTCCATCCACCAAGTGGCAAGAGAAAATGACAGATCCTGTCTTAGAGTAGAAGCCATTTCTAGAACCCAGCTCTAAGACACTGGTTGGTACACACTACTACAAAGCCCATTTCCAAATGTAGAATTTCACAGTTAAAAATAGCTTGGTTTTGTATCAAGGTTTATCCCTTCCCAAACATTCACACCCAATATATCCTTTACTGCTCAAGCAGTTGATAAAGGAGTTGAGAGAGTCTTGTTTTGGATATGATGAAGCAGAGGCATGCCGACGTAAGGCCACTCGCTAAAGCCATATCAAAGTTTAGCTGTGGAATACAGACTAGAATGCAGGTTTACAGGCTTCCAGCAAAGGGCACTTCCAAACATGCCATTTCTCTCAAACTAGGTGGTTACTTTATCAGATTATGTATTGAAAACTTTTTCTTTTTTAGATTACTTTTTGGCTTTCTAAAGGGACGAATTATTTTGACCAGATAGTTCCCAAGCAAGACATTTTTTGTCTTACTTTGTTAAGGTAGTACAGGGTGACAGGTGAAATTTAACCACTCAGTGCCCAAGCAGACAGATTCTGGGGTGAAGCACTGTGTGTGCCTTCTCGCAGGATCTATGGCTCAGGCCTTGGTTACTCTGGAGTGAAGCCAGGGGTTTGACTTCTGGAGATAACACCTCCAGGGATTAGGTCATTCTGCAAGAATGTTCTGGTGTCATTTAACGCATGTTTCAGTCAAAGATGCAATAACATCATTGAGAAAAGCACCCTTCTGTATGGAATGAGGAAGGCAAACAGTGGACCCTTGATTCTGAAAAACTAGCCAGGACTCCTGATTTTCAGACAGGTCCTCTTGCCAATGTGTCTTTTCTAGACAGATATATGGATGCATATACATAAATACATGCAGATAACATTCACTGACACTTTGTCATAAAAACAAATTTCCTGGCAGGACCCCATCAGATAACTACTCCTGCCCCATCTGAGCTGGCACTGCTTTTTAAATTTACTTTTCACTTACTAAACCTTAAAAAAAGAAGCACCTCATTCGACTTACTGCTTATTGAATAAAGGATTAGTATTATTTTCCTTCCTCCAGTGAACTTTCTTGCACTTCATTCTCAGTAGATTATATGTCTTTCTGTTTCTCTGCCAAGATGTCACTGTTGAACAAATCACAGGCCTTAATGCTGCCCAGTTCATGCCGTGATAACTTTTTATTCAGAATTGCTTGAGGTCATCTCAATGGGAGCAATGGGTAAGAATAAGAATTTACCCCCAACTTGAATTAAAATAACTTCCAAGCACTTCCTAGAGCAGGAACAAAGATGAAAGGGGCCCCAAATTATGGGAGTATTTGAAATAACAAGACAAGGGTGTCCTTTGAAATATACTCAGCCACATTTGTTTGCCTTTAAGTCAGATCACCTTAACCAAGGACATTGGGTGGCAGGAACAAATGGTTAATGATTGTGGAAGGAACCTGGCCAATTGGCTTTTCTTTCTCTCTTTTTCTTTTACTTATCTTTTCATATTATTATTATTTTTTTAACTTAGGCTAGAATGCCCAGTAGGAGTGCAGACTGGAGGATCGGCTGTTTTTTGAACTGGAGACATCACAGGAAACTGGGGAGGCTCCAAATTGCTAACCTGAGGCCGGAGCAAAAACTTTTTTTTTGTCGAAGGGACTGCTTTTTTTATTTCCCCTTCAACGGATGGCATCCCAAGTCCTGCTGGATTGCATCTGTCTTTGTTCCTGCAGCCAAGCCTTATAGCTGGCTCACACTCTGCCATGCTCATAACCTCACACTAGAAAGGATATTACAAAGAGGGGCAAACACCCTAGAGGGTTCCCCTTTATCAGAACCTTCCCTGTCAGTGGGCTCCTCATTTCCCGAGCCCTCGTCTGATTATTAGTGTACTGACGGAATAAAAATAACCTCATATTCCTACATGAATCATAAATAAAATCCTTTTATTTCATCAAAGAGGTTGGCAGGTTTATAGTCCTTTGCAATGCAGGCACGATGTGAATGACATACCTTTAATTTTGCTGACAAGCTCATCCGGGTTCGGATGAAAAAAGAGTGAGAAGTGGGTGACTTGGAGAACAGTTGTGCAGGAGCTTTTTGGAGAGGATAAATATTTCACCTTGCCACTGTAATCAGGGAACCAACCGATCTTGGTAATGAACTCTTCAATTATAGCCCAATTCTGACTCTTCAAAACTGCCTAAGCAAAAATACCACAGTGATTACTGCTGACGTTAAAGATAGGAGCTACCTGCAAAGAAAGAAAAAAGGAAAAGACAAAAAGGGAAAGGGAAACAATGGTGTGGTAGGTAGAGAAAGCCACTGAAACTTTACATCACTAAATCTTCAGATAAGAAAATGCTACGGAGCCAGCCAAAGGAAAAAATACAATTACCCCACCCCCTCCACTCTTGTTCACTCCCTGACCTACTAAACTATCTTGATGACTCCATAAATGCTCCAAATTTCTGTGAATCTAGGCATGAGCTCCCCAGATCAGATAACCCAGCAATCAAGACTCTGTAGTTTGTACACTGTGCCCATTTGCCATTGATTTCTATTAAGTATGATTTTGGAGTTCCTTCTTTTAAAGGAAGACCAGCATGGACAATGGGCTGGGTACTGCCTTTGGTCCAAGTGTTTCCTGTCTTCCTATTTGGAGGAGGAAAGAATCAAAAGATAGAAAGAAACACTAGATGCTGGGCTCATAAATTATTTACCTTAATTTTTCAAGGAAAGAAAATTGGAGATTTTTAAACAAAATTTATCAACTAGCCTTGTAGATCAGGATTTTACGTAGAAAAATGCAAAGGGAAAACTTGGAAGATTTAAAAGAGTTAATTTCTGGAAAAGGAAAGATGCCTGACTTTATAATGAGACTCTTCTGGTGGGCCAGTCCAAGAGAACTTAGCCCTAAGAAATGAGCTTTTATAGTAGATACCCTCAGGGCTCGCAACTTAGCTTGGGATTTGTTTTACTGGTAAATTTAGATTTTCTTCCATTATCCAAAACATTCTAGCAGGAGAGACAGTTGCTATCAGTGATCTCCAGGCCTCATCTTATAAGAAATGTGCCATACTTTGCCAGGCATGAGTCTCTTTTTAGGACAGCTAAGCAGAATAGAAAAGAAACTATACTGTTCTCTCTTCAACTGAACTAAAACCTTCTTGAGGACAAGAGCCATATTTTATTCTAATTGTGTAGCTTCCGTAGAACATAAAATGGTGTAAGTCTTGGGTTTTCTAGTTGAGCTAAGAAACAGGACAAAGGTTATTCAAGGAGCCACTGGAGACCAAAGTGACTCTGTGTCCTACAGTCTTGAGATTAAACCTTCTGCATCCAAACAATCTATGATTCTTTAGATCCACACAGATGAGATGACTTGTTTACTTCATGGATCCCTTGATTTTTAAACAGCTGATACTTGTGATTTGAAAAAAATTGTACCAGGAAGGTTCTGTTGTGCTAGTTTTACAGCTGAGGACACTATGGCTCTAAGAGGTTAAATATCATGCCAAAGACATACAGAGGATGTCCCTAGTCATGATCCAAATTCTAAAGAAAAGAGTGTAGATCCTGAAGCTAACTTATGGTTTAGGAGGCCTATTCCACACTCCTGAGTTTTAACAGTGAAGTACGCAGGAAAGAGATACTAATTGTACTTCTAGGCAAAGGGTTTCGTGGTAGCCTGTAGGAGCAAAAAAGACACCTGTAAGCAACAATGACATTGCACTGCTCTTATTCCTCTAGGTGAGCACACAGATGCCTAACACCGTGGCCAAGAAAACCTGGCCTGTGATAGCTGTCCAGGATCTGTCACAGCTGCCACGGGCCCATGTATGGTCCCCTCAAGCTAAGTGAGAAAGCATCAGCTGGGCTCAGGAGGGAGTGCCCAGCCTCAGACCACCTGGGGAACTGGGCACTCACCCTAAGAGGGGAGGGGGAAGTAAATGTGAACACTCAGACATTCAGCAACAAGGCTTTAATCAGAACCTGCTGGCAGGTTCTGCTGAGCCAGAACATTTCTGGCACATTATGGCCATAAATGGAATGAAACATTAATTTAAAAGTATAACATCACATGCAAAACCATGCATGTCTTGTTACCAAACAAATGCCATGGAAAGTATAGGCACAATGAAGACAAACTAGAGATAGAGTCTGAAACAGGAACTGGAGAGGCTCACATACAGCAGGTCTTCCTTCTACAACCATACACCTTTGGCAAGTGAATGAGCACTTTATTATTCACCAGGCACTGTACTAGATGCATCGTGTCTGTAATTATCACTACCCCTTACAACAACACTATGAGGAGTGTGTTAGTCAGGATCCAAGCAGGAAACCTCTAAATATTTATAACAGGGAAGATTGGATACAGAGAATTGGCAATCCAGAGAATTTAAGACAGTGAATGGTTAACACAGGCAATATAAGACTGAGAAGCCAAACCGGGAATGGTGAGGCACTCTCATATTGGCAGGAAAAGGAAGGAGGTGGAATTCCTAGAGCCCAGAGAGAAGCACAGAGGAAAGACGGTTACTTCTGGAAAGGCCATGCAAGGCAGTGAGATGGAGAGGCAAATCTCTCGTTCCCTTGCCCTCTATACCACCTAGCCCAGTGCCTCTCATTGGCCAGAAAACAGAGAAATGCTTTTTGTAGGGTCAGTACCCAGAAATATAGAGCAGAGCAGAGAAAAGGCAGAAAACAGATGTGAGAACAGGCAGACCAAGGACAGGTGCTGGGGTGTCATGATGCCCATACTACACAGATAGAAACTGAGGCTCAGAGAGTCTGTGTGGTTTACCCAAGGATGCCTAATGAGACGCTGAAGGATAAAGATTTCAGCCCAATATTTGCCAGGCACTGTCCTAGATGTTTCCAGTCTCTAACTGTCACTACTCCTTACATCAGCACTGGGAAGAAGACTCCGTAGTCCACACCTTTTCCATGACATGATTTCTTTCCTGTGTGCTAGATTGAGCAACAAGAGGAAAGGTCTTCAGGCACCTGGGATGCCCCTGACTTCCAGGATCAGACTGAATCCCTGGCTTGTTCCAACCCTGCCCAGGGATAAAACATTAATCATTAATCCTTGGAAATAAGCAGACTGCTGTTTACTGTGGTTGGCTCAACAGTGATCTAACATTGTTTTACTGAGGGTCCTGGGATTTAGACTTCTATAGCTCACTTTGCTCTCCCAATTCTTGTTCTTGTACCTGCAGCTTTGACTTCAGGGTCTGTCTTGTCCCACAGGTCTGGCCTGTATTCATATTCTGAAGCCTGTGGAGCAGAGAGTAAGGCACCCATTAGATTTGATCAATTAATGAATACTATGCTGGTTAAAATTGGCTAACTCCATGTCTCCTGGCTTTGATCTTGACTGTGTGGTTGTCCTCTGTGGGTAACACACTTAGATCTTATTTGTGTCCTGCCTTCAGCCTCTTCCTGGCCCCCAGTATTAAACATGTCTCCAATCCCCATTCCAGGTTCTATTCCTGGTTCTTGATATAATAAGCAGTTTTCAAATCATGATATTCCAGAAAAATGCCATTTTCCAGGCTAAATTTTTAAAATTGAAGAATTGCCTAAAATCAGCCACTTTCTGTCTCTGTAGAACCTTACACTACACCTTGAATTAATTTTGCATCAGGTAACTGTTTGTTGGTAGATTGCTGATGTGCATAGTTTCCCCATTGTTTAAAGAAAAAGCCTCTTCTTTAAAAGCTTACATGCACTCTCTAAAATTGTTTTTTATGAATATAATAAATTTGCTAAGAAAGAAGGCATGTGTTGCTATTTGAGAGAGACAGAAAGAGAGAGAAATGGAAAGGAAGAGAAAAAAATCTGATGAAACCATAGAGAAAGACAAAATCAACTCTATTGAATTCTAGATTGCCATCTTGTCAGGATTTTTGCAAGATTCCTTTGCCACTCTTAATTTTCATTACTTTCCATTTTCTTTGAATAAGCTTAGAAGCAGGTTCTAATTTTACCAGAGGCTTTTCATCAAATCAGACTTTTTATTCTCCCTAGGTTATCCTAGTCACAAAAACATCTCTCTTTTCAAAGCTTGCATAATATTAGCTAACTCTAGTGGGGTACAGCTTCTTGAACCCACACAGTTAAGATGCAAACATTATTCTTTAACCTGACTTCAGTTATCTTTCATCACAGAGATTGACATTCTTAGAAGCCAGCATCTTCACAGAACCTCTGAGGTTTATGAAAAATTTCCTTAACCACTGGCTGTGCAGACATGAACTTTCTGAACTTCAAGCAAGTCATATCTCTGTTCAGTGTTTTGAGGAATCTCAGATGCTCGACTCTCCTATTTTTAACCTGGTTATAATGAAGACTTTTCTACATCCAAAGGAATCTTGTCCCAAGCAGGACTTGCCATTCCTTTCCTCTGGCTCTGTGGTGAAATAGCAGGTCACCACTTCTCACTAGGGCCATTGGGAGCACCTAATTGAATTGGTGCAAACTGGTGGAAGGTTTTTGTGGAGGACCAAATCCCAAAGAGCAGAGTGATGTAAATTCACAGACTTGGAGTCACCATCTTCTATGTCAAAATATACCCTAGGGGACTTGTGCCATTACCCTAACCCCAAATCTAATAGTGAAGAGAAAAGGGCTACCAGGACATATTGAGACTTCTTTGCTCACTGACAGGTGTGATTTCTAAGACCTTCCCTTTCTCAGTGATGAACAAATCTGCTTTCTTGTAGTTTCCTTGAGGGACGAGAATAGGTTTGTGTTTAGACTTCTGCAGAATATAAACGTAGTTGGACATTTAGAGCCTGTAGTTGGCTTATACTCCATTGTTACTCTTTTAAAACACAGGCTGCAGAGCATCTATGAAACAAAGCTATTGTTAGATACATATGCATTGAGCATTTGCATTATGTTAACACTGGTGGCTTCTAAAGAGGTCCTAGGCATAGTCCTTATTATCATGGTGTTTACAGAATAGTATCAATGGAGATCTAATGGACCTGTCATCTGACAGACAAGCTCCATTCCAGATTGGGTGCTTGCTAGCTGTGTGGCTCTATGTCTTTTAGGGATTTTTTTCTTGGAACTTGGTTTTCTCACCTGAAAATGGACTACTGATGCATAAGGTATTTGGAAGACTATTAAGATGATATAAATAAAGCATTTCTCACAATGACTGGCATATATTAGGCCTTCAGTAAATATCTGAGAAAAATTTGATGTGCAGGCATGAAAATACAGTGTTTCCTGACCAGCTCTGTTAATGCTGAGGGCCAAAGTAGGGGTTTGGCTTATACCATCTTTGAGAGTACAGAGCAGAAAGAAAATGTGATTAGCTGGAATGATCAAGAAAGTTTTCAAGGGGATGAGTGGAACCTTGACAAAAGGTGGGATTTTAAGAAAGGCAGATATAAAGAAAGGGGCAATCCAGGAATTTCACTCTCCCAGTGACCCAGGCAAAAATGAAAATGTGGGAATGCCAGGTGAATTTGAGCAACAGTGAGGAAGTAGTTGGCTGGGTCAGGGAGCAAGAAGGGGACCTGTGAGCCTGAGCCTGAGAAAGGTGGTAGGGACCAAGCTAACATTCTCTTTCTTTAAGGCAGAAGAGAGACTAGTGTTTTGGGACTAGGGTGCATGGTAAATTGATCATAGGAGAAATGCAGGAAGACAAATCAGAGGTGTTAATCCAAACAGCTTAGAGATGGACAGGCAGGTGGGGTACCACTGGAAGAGTGAGAGTGTCATGACATGAATGGAGGGATGGGGAATAGAAAACAAAATATGGTCATGTGATACTCAGAAAAATGGGTAAACCTTAGGTTCTGATTAAATAGGAGTAAAAGGGAAAAGAAAGGGCTCACAGTTGATTCCGACTCTTTGTTTTTGCATAACAGGGAAATAGTAGCCACTTTAACATGAATAAGAACGTCAGGAGGAAGAGCTGGCTTTGTAAAGGAGAAGACACATAGAAAAATAGGTGGTACTTTGCCCACCATTTACTTTCAGGTGTCCCTTAAGGGTCTAGAATGAAGTGAGAAGCACAGCTTCAGTGAATTCCAACTGGATTGTATAACATATTTTGAATATGAAGCATAATGTAGCATCTTTTCTACCCATGGCAGGGAGGGCTTTTTGCCAAGCAATGCTGGAACAGCACATCTATTTTGCTGGGCTGAGTCACTGTGCCATCAGAAGCGGTTCTAATCTCAGCTCTGTATGATGGTTGTGGAAAAGTTTACTTCCATTTTTTCCTGCATCTCAGAATTTTTTTTTTCTCTCTCTAAAAGGAATATAATGACATCAACTTGTCCTCCACTGCCACCACAACACATTTAGCGAGAAGTTTGCATATTTACTGAGAATGTATTCAGGGCTCCTTTCTGGGTTGCCCCTTCCCAGTGTTCCCAGAGGGCACTGTTGATGCCTCTGTGGCAGGAAGCATCACTGAGCCGGGCAAATTTTATTGATGTGTCTGTCTCCCCCGGGAGACTATGAGCTTTCCAAGTCTGAGACTAGACTTCTTCAAAATAATCCTCTTGTTTAGCACATGGAAAGTGAAAGAATGAATTAACAAGTAAAATGTGTATTTCATGTGTCTGTGGGATGGGCACTTCCTTGTTAAAAAAAGTCTGGCTTCTCTTTGATGGGCTCAGCTCCTCTGTGAAAGAAGCAAGAGGCAACTGGAAATGGTTGACTCCTCCTGGTATTTTCTTGATTCTTAATTGTAAATATGGTAGCTTCTCAGTTAAGGGAAAGGATGTAACATTGATGAATTTCAGTAATACCCTCACTAAAGGCCAAGCCCAAGAAATTGGACTTGAGCTAGAGGAGTAGCAAGTTAAGTACTAATGACATCCAAAGGCTAAGTCAACATGCCCAAATGTCAAAGCACTTAATGCATTACATATCTTCTTCTAATGACACTTGCATCTATGTGACAGGGACATTGGGGCATTTGTGGAAAACCCAAATATATATTTTCCAAGTGGCTGCTTATGTTTGTCGAATATAATGATGTGTGGACTTTTGTAGAGTGGAAATGAGTGGGAAGAAGAGAAATGCAGGGATCACATAAACATGTCTTGGTCATTCATTTTGAAAAACACTTATAAGATTACAGACTGGCATTTTTATACACCACCTTGTTTCTTGCTTTTGCTTTAGATTAAGACTGGTCTTTAACAATGAATTAATGTACTAATTGTTTTAACTTTCTCAACGTTCACTACTTTGTTGTTGCATTTCTTAGGCAAGTACTTGGAATGAACTGGAAATTTTGTAACATGGTGGAAAGAAAATTAATAATAACACATATTTTGCTGCATTCTTTTCTATTTGATGATGGTTCAGACAAAGATAATTTACAAATTGGGCAGAGAAACCAAATTCAATATTTGTGAGTTGAAGCCTGAAGAAGATAATAATTGCATCATAAAATACCTAAAACATCTCAAAATTCCCCAGGCTGTAGAAAGCAGCAGCTTATAAAACTCAAGCTCATGATCTCTTAATAGTTCTGCTTTATATTTTAACTGTAAATATAAATATATTAATTACAGAAATTACAATGAGACTTGCAGAAAGCCAACAATAATATTATTTGGCATTATTTTAATGCTTCATTCTATTGGCACTGTTTTCAGAATTCAGGTCCTGATTCTTGTGTACCTGTTTCATGCCAACATTAAGGATTCTCTGCCAGCAAATTTTTACATGAAATCCCATTTTCAGGTAGCTGCAGTCTTTGGAGAAAGGACCTCAAAGATATTTGAAATCCATAAGTGCACACTGAGCCAAGGCTCTGCTTCTGTCCACCCCACCCCAAACTTGACACTAAAGCATATTCAAAAGGAACATATTAGCAAATTGGGAATGGTATGATGTGTCAGAATTTTTTACTTTCCCTGTCTAATTGTTGGTTTCGGAGTAGAGAAAGAACAATCCAAGAGAAGAACAATAAATAAACAGTGAAGATACTCCCCACACTGCCTGGGACCTGATATTGAGAACTGAATGCAGTGATTAATCCGCTTTTGTGGATATCCTATTTGACCCTGTGCTATATATTTTGGGATTGGGATACTAAGGACTTACAGCATAGAAGGCCAAGAAAGCATGTGTAATCCATAAACAATTAACTGCAGCACATAAGAGTACATGATTGTTGCCTTACAAGTCTCCAAATTGCTATAGCTGTTTATATTAGAACTTGTATCAGCCAGGTTTCAATGAATACACAGAAAATTCTCAAAATATTTTAAGCAGAAGGAATTTAATACAGGGAATTAGGTTCTTAAAAATTGGTGGAAGAATTGGGAGCTGAGGTGCTAGGCTGAGCTGTCAGGAATATCTCCTAGAATGACTTGGACCCTCTAAAGGAGCTATTCCCTCTAAGGCTGCCAGTGGAGCTGGAAGGGGGACTGGAATTCAGTAGCTGCTACTTCCGCTATTACCATCCTAAGTGCCTGTCAGCACATTTAGGAAACTGAAAAATTGACAAGGAACGCCACCATAGAAGACACTCATCTCCTCAGAGCGTTGTCCCCTTGTGGAAACAGCCAAAGGGGCAAGGAGGTAGCCTCTACCTCATTCCACCCTTCAAAGTCATGTAGGTATAAATATGGCTAAATTTAATTCACATTAAACTCTAGCTGCAAGGAAACTGGGAAGATAGTTTTAGTTTTCTAATCTCTTCAATTAGAGGAAAGATCGAATGAAGACTGAGTGGGTCAATGGTCTGTATCCTCCAGAGAATTGGAAACTAGCACCTATTTGAGCCTTCTATGTTTAGACAATGTCCCAGAAACTTTAACTGCAGTACTTTAATTAATTTTATTTAATTAGAGATGGTGTTTGACTTAAGCCTAGGAGGATGAGTGGATGATTTATGGATGAAGAAGTTTAGAATAGAGCAAGGAGGATAAACCAGCAGTAGGAGGAAGTATTACTGCCCCAAACACAGAGGCATGGAAGGGAAGGATATATTTGGAGGTAGGGTTGCAGCTTCTGAGGCCAGGGCCAGGTAAGAGAAGAGCAATTTGGGTGCATTAGCAGTGATGGCGGTTGGGGTACAAGACTTCCCTTACAAATGTCAAACCCACCAGGAGGCTTAGAGGGACTAAGTGTAGAACATCCATCTCTCCATCACTGCAAAAAGTTGCTTCTCCAGCAAGCTCCAGCTCAAGGCTTTTGTAATCAAAATTTTACCAATAACTTGCCAAATCATCTTCTCTAACCTCTTAACTCCTATAACATTTACTGTCCCCATCAAACATTTAGTATTTAAATTTAACTTCCTCATTTTTCTCAACGGTTGATTGTTATGTACTGGACGGGTGTTTCTCACTATGGATTTCTAAAAGGAAGGACACATGACATCCATTCTTTTGTCCCCTTTGCCTCCCTCCATCCCATTCCAGGCACCTGTGCTTCCTTAGTAAAGGGGACTTTTAATACACTTAATTTTCCTTTGTATTGAAAATAGAGTTTCTTCTATTTTTTTCTCCTCCCATAATGTCTTTGCCCTTTTGGTGACTTCTCCAATGCCACCAGGCTCTCTGGTCCCCTCAAAGTGTTCCCTTTGCCTGTACTTGCTATCTCACTTGATGTAGTTTCTTTGTATTTATCTTTACCTTAAGCCAGTTACTCCCCTGCTTTCTCTATTTCCCTTCCCAACCCCAGTTCACATTCTCTTACTTTGGCTCTGTTCCAACCTCTTCTATATTTTTATATTTTGTCCCCTTTGTCTCCTTAATTGGGGTTCCTAGTTTTGTTTGTTTCAGCTTCTGCATCTGCCGCCTTCTGTGCTTTCTCTTGTTTATTTCACTCTACATGCATATATGTCTTCATTTTTATCTTTTCCTCTGGGTACTTCACTCACTCTTTCCCATTCTGTACCACACCCTTCACCCATCCTTGATAAATTACCTTGCTTTTTATCTATTCCTGTCCACATAAAGCCTCTCACCCCTTCTAGGACAGAGGAAGACCAACATGAGACTTTACTCTTTGCCCACCTGCCTCTATAACATCAGGGACTCAGGAACTTCTGACAAATACAAAGTTCCCAGCACTCACCACCTCTATGGCCATGCCTACCTCACTATTGACCTCTGTTAGGGTAACTTGGCATAGAAACAATTGGTTTTGAAATTCAACCCAGAATTTAACAAAGGGACCCAATATGAGACTGTCCTGTCTATGACTTGTTAGTTTTCATGGCCTGTCAGCTGCTTCAGGCCATGTTTTCAGAGGACAGCTGCTTCTGATGTTTTCAGAGGACAAATTTGTCTCTAGTTCTACACTGTCTGGAAGGCATATACACCCACACTCACACACACACACACACACACACACACACACACACACTTTTCACTCTCCAACCATATGTGTGTATGCATGTAATGTATATATACACACATATATACATATATATGAGTTATAAGCATATGTATATAAGTATATATGCATTATATATCCATAATACATACATATTTTATATACATAATACACACACACATATATATTGTGTATACATGCATTATCTACATAGTGCTCGTGTGTATTTTATATATATATATAAGTTGAAATTTTGGTCATTGAGTTAAGCATTCAGTAAGGAGCTTATAATAAGAAAAAAAAGGTCTCTATCAAATTCATGATTAGTGATTTAGATAATAAAAACAATGCTCTGAAATTTTATCCCACTTTGAAGATATTTAAGCCATCTCACATTTAATGATTTTATCTCTACCAACTGACTCTTTTAGTGTTGATGTGTTTCTTTAGACATTTTCTTTAACCTCATAAAATATATCTGAGAAATGAGAAAAGTAGTAGAGGGGGCATGAGAGAGGCAGGTTGCATCACATGGTTTCAAGGTGGAGAAATGAGAGCAGGACCTGGTGGAACTGCTAACTGAACTTGCTCCATCAAGCAGCCAAGGAGGAGACACCTAACCAGGATCCCTCCTTCATCTCCTCTCACTTCACTTTTCATCTGCATTTCTTGCCTCATTTTAGGGATCCTCCAAACTCAGAAATACAAACCTCAGAATTCACTTTAATCACTAAGCGTTCAAGCTGGAATTACAAGACATATTTTCCATATTTAGCTAAAAGTCTGATTCCAGAAGTCGATATCATAAAAATGAATGCATTAGATATAATGGATTGGATTATCTTTTAAGTGAATACTCATATGTAGACATTTAGAGAAATACGAGTAGAGGCAAAAGACATTTATTGAATCCAAATTGTTTTTAATACCACAGACATTATACACAGCAGGTATTTAACAGGAATTTTAAACTGCATATTAAAGTTATATTCTATACCAATTAACATTAGCAATAATTATAAAATAATTTATCACCAAAATGACCCCTCTAAATTTTAGAATTTGAATGTATACTTCACCTCTCCAGATTTGTAAACACAAATACTTTATGCCGACCTTTGGAAAGTATTAATGTTAAAGGGCTTATTTTGAATTGATAGAGATGTCAGAATCCCACATGGTAATTGGAAAACTCAATTGAAATAGAAGAAATATAAATTAATATAAATTAGTTGGTAAACTTTATTTTTTTGTGTGTGACAGAGTCTTGCTCTGTCGCCCAAGTTGCAGTGCAGTGGTGTGATCTCAGCTCACTGCGACCTCCACCTCCCGGGTTCAAACGATTCTCCCTCTTTAGCCTCCCAAGTAGCTGGGAGGTATGTCTCCCAGCTCCAGAGTAGCTGTTAGGTATGTGCCACCATGCCCGGATAATTTTTGTATTTTTAGTAGAGACAGGGTTTCGCCATGTTAGCCAGGCTGGTCTCCAACTCCTGATCTCAAGTGATCCTCCAGCCTCGGCCTCCCAAAGTGCTGGGAATACAGGAGTGAGCCATTTCACCAGGTCAGTTAGTTTGTAAACTTTACTGGACAGCTTCTCTGACCAGAAGGTAGGAAAGTGTTTGAAGAATAACCCTAGTGAAAAGATTCACTGCAAGATGGCTTGCAGAATTTCCAGATCAATACAGAAAGCACCACAGGCTTAACTTATTGGGGAAACAGAAGTGAGTCTACAAAAGATCTTGCTTTGCAGACACTTTTTTTCTGCTCTTAGAGGAACCCTGTCTGGCTGTGGGCAGACCTATCTGGGCCAGGTCTTCATTCCTGTCCTACACTGGCCTGCCCTGGGGATTCTACTGTCCTCCTGTCAGAAAATGCAATGGCTTCCTGTCACCAGTTAGCCCTGCTTTTCCTCAGCAAAGTTTATCAGATTTTGCTGATATGTATTAACTGTGCATATTATTACATTCAAAGAAAAACATGATCTCAATTTGGCTACATATTCAAAGTGCCGGTCCCTGTTGTCCTGCCTAACACTCTTAACTGCATACATTTAGCCGTTGGTTGGAGAATTATTTCAATTCAGATTGAAAAGAAACAGCTCTGGCCTTGGTTATTTTGGCATACAATTCTCCAATATGACTCTGTTTTCTAAGCAGACATTAATGATTCTAAAACTAATATTCATTGTTTGAAGAGGCACAGCGGCCTTGGCATTTACTTAACCTTTTGTCTCATGTATGAGACTGAGTCAGCCTAAATCCTCTTCTTAATTAATATCTTTTCTTTTTATGGCCAACGTTATTTATTGAACAATTTGCATGTAACAGTTAGAGCCACGAGAGCTTAAGAAAACTCGTCCTGCTCAGAAGTCCACCTGTTCAGATTTTTATTTATTTAGTTTTTAAGGTTATGCTGATTACATAAACTCAGGGAAAGCTTGACTAAAGTCATAGGGAATACATTAGGGCAGATATATCTTATGTAGGTGATCCCACCTGCTGGAGCCCAAAAGAAAAGAAGAAAAAGATTCCTTCTATTTAAAAATAAAGCGATTTATTTAAGCAAAGAGTATGGATTTATGCTGCGCTAGATATCTGCAGAAAACTCACATTAATGTTGGCCATTGTGTGGAGGGATGAGGCATAGCTCTAAATAAACCAATATGCTCAAGGAATAAGGTGTCGTATGTGAAGTTATTTCTTTTAAAATAACATGAAAAACTAAAGTAATAAAATGTTAAAAATAAAAGAAATAACTTTACCAATGGTCCTAAACCATTCCAAAAAGTGAACTACTATTTACCGTTTTCTCTCAAATTTCTGTCCACGTGAATTAATAAATTTGGCATAATTTTAATCATAGTACAGAACAGCATTTTTATATATATCAAGTCCTTCACTTTTGTTGACATATTGTTTCAATTTATTATATTGAAGATCTGCATAATATTCAAGTAATTAGATGTGCTCAATAATTTAATTAATACCATATTGTGGAATTACATTCTTCATAACATTTTTATGTAATATAATATTGCATAAACGTCTTGAAGAATATACCTGGTTCCTTTTTTTTGCCATGCAAGTAGAATTATTGGGCAAAATAGCATGCACATTTTCTACTTCTTGGCAATAATATTTAATAATATATCACAGTATATTTTGGTTCTAGCAATGTATGGGTATATTGGTTTGACAACCTTGCTAGAGATGCATATTATCTATATTTTTGAAGTTGTGCTAAATGGACATGTATAAAATCTTCTTGATAACATGGTTGACTCCTCCAAATCCAGTATTTATTATTTCAAATTATGTTATTCAAAATTTTGCTTAATTAGCTCATTGGGGAAAACCAAATATTTTAAATCATTCAGGTGCTTTCAAGACCTGGGGTTTATTATTAAATTACTAAATGCCAATAATTTTTATATGACTCCATGTGGAAATTTGGAAGATATACAAGATGTTTCTGAAGGTGTATCGATGCCCTTTTTTGACCAGTACTTAACATGAACTTACC